>NC_000007.14:146125046-146276561 GCF_000001405.40 Homo sapiens | reverse complement strand
TTATCTTATTATATTTTGTAATCCCAGTGCTTCAAATTGTGCTTTGTATATGTTATACGTTTAATATGTATTTTTAAACTGAAACATTAAAGATTCATTCATTCATGGATTCAATAAACATTTGTTAGTACCTACTACATGACAGGCAGTACAGTTAGATGCCTTGGTTAAGATGATGCATATTGAGATAGGTTCCATATCCCAATAGAGTTTTTAGACTTAAAGAGGAGGAATACATATATAATCACACAAATGATCAGTTTTCATTGTGATAAGTTCTATGAGGAGTATCTATCTTCTTAGAATTGACTTTATGTTTAGCAAATAAATGTCTGGTTCTAATTTGGCTTTTTGTATAGGTTTTCCAGAGGGAGTAAATATATTCATCAGTAAATATGATTGTCTTGGTCCCCTTGACAGTTCTAGCTATCATTGCAAATTAATAAATGGCATTCTGGTTCACGTACTAGTCTCTAGGAATGTGGTTAGCATGTTTGCATTCATCTCCTCTGGTGCCACTGACATTTTGCAGGATATTTCTTAGTTGTGGGTGACTGTCTTGTACATTATAGGATATTTGGTAGTATCCACGGCCTTGACCCACAAGATGCCAGTAGCACACAACCCCCTCTTGTGACAAACAAAAATGTCTCCAGGCATTGCCAAATTTTGCTAGGAAGCAAAATTGCTCCCAGGAGGGAATCATTGCTCTAAAAGTAAATCAAGCAATCTGAGTTATTGAATTAGGTAGGAATGGGAAATGCGAAACCTCCAGTTCTATAAACGAGAATCATAGAATCACATTAAATCGACTAGTATTGTGCCTACATCGCATTCTTGTGGTTGCCAGTGGATATGTGTGCTTAGGAAGATATAGAGGCTCATGTAAACCAACGTGTAGCATCTTATGTGATTTACATTTCTTATCTATAGCCAATTTGCCAGAAGGGAGACACAAGTTTAATATAATTTGTGAACACACCCCACACACATGTGGGTTTACTTTGATCTTCAGCTTTGGAAATAATCATTTACAGAAATACAGACTGAAGCAAACTTCTTATACAATATATTTTCTGTGTTCTTTATATCATATCATTCTTTATATCAATACCCTTCTATTTTAAGTGTTTTTATTTATGTTAAAGTTGATCATTCTGAATAAGAAATACTATTTTAAAAACTTATTCGGAGTCAGAAGATCTGGGTTTGAATCCTTCCTCTATTCATGGTCACTATAGTCTTGTTAAGTTACTATTTTTTAACATTTTTAAAAAGTTCTACAATTGAATGATTACAAATAAATATTATAAACAATAAGTGTCATGAATTTTTGAGATGATGAATATGAACATGACAAAAGATCCATGTGAAAAATCTTATCTATTTGATACAGAAAATGAGAGGGAGAATTGACTTTCAATGGACACTTGTATCCGATGTTTGAACCAAATGCATAGTGCGTATTATCTTCATATTCAGGATCTAAAAATGCACCATGTCAAAAACAAGTCTATATGAAAGCCTGGGATTTAAAACTATAGAGGGCAAATAGCTTATTAAGTGCCAAAAGCCAAATCATCTCTGTTGCAGATAACAGGTGTCCCAGGTGAAGGTTCATGTTTGAATAACACCGCATAACCTGGCATCAGTGTAGATTCCCACTGATTTCACTGAGATAAAAACTAAAAATAAAAATGTTTAAAAGACAAGGAACAAAAGCCCACTCTTTGCTCGAAATGTAGGTTAACTGTTATAGAGAATGCTTTTCCTTCTGTTGAATCACACCTGACACAAAGTTTTCTATATATTTACTCAGAAATGAGTTAGAATTGCTCCTGCACTGCCCATTTCTCCCTCATTGAATCCTTCTTCATCCATGGAAAACCGATTGCTGCTTACCCTGCCTCTCCTGGGTGGCTTGAAGAACTTTAATGGGGTGGAATCACATAATAACTAAGCATTCCCTGGTCTGGTGAACAAACTGCACATACTGAACAAATAGGGGCAAATGTTCCTCCAAAGGGCTGATGAGTACATTTGCAGTTTAATTTAAAACTGCCCCGGGGTAGCTATGCCGTCTCATCTGGTCTCTTTATGTTTGTGTTACTATAGAATCAAACAGATGCCTTCCTTTTAGTCTGGGGCTGTAACTTCCAAATCATAGAAGAATGAAAACTCTCTCCTGATATTCAACTCAGAACGCAAAACTCAGCTTCCGAGTCACTGGGCTCCATGACAATTGTCAATACCCATTTCTTACGCCATTTGCAAAGCAGCCCTGGGAGGCTTACTTAAAAGGTATGTTGCTGTGACTGCCCTGCCCATGGCTGGCATTGCCAGCATTGTGCTTGACTTGGAATAACTTGATTTTGCCCCTTCAGGCGCTATGTGTCACAAGCACTGGAGAATTTTAATGGGCCTTTAGAAATTAAGAACATTATCTGGCATTTACTGAGCATATAAGGTATATTAGGCACTGCAGCCAAGCACTTTGCATATATTATTATTTCACTTAATAGTTACAACTATTACATATGTATGTGTATATATACACATATATATGTATATATAATGTCAAGGTCTTACACATAAGGAGATCGAACTAACATTTTCTGATTTGGTTGCAAATGACCATTTCCTTATGTATGAATAATATACCATTTTTATAGTATTTACATTTTATTCTCATTCTGATCTGTGAGGATTAAATACAGGGTCATCGCCTTGTTTTACGAAGAAGGAAACTAGGGCTCAGAGGTTTTAAGTAACCGGCCAGTACAAGTAAAAGGGTCGTCCTTAAAATCTAGGACCACAGACCGCAGAATAGGTGTTCTTTCCCTTGTTCTGCTATAAATAGAAGAAAATCTCTTTGATCCACAGAAATATATAATGATAATCAGGCATGAGCTTAAAATACCCTGAGAGAACAAAAATTTAGCTTACCAGTGTCAAGTTCTTCACTGATTTTATTTCAGACCAGAAGTTAGCACATCTGGCCCGTCATCTATTTTTGTAAATAAAATTTTATTGAAACACACCCACCCCCATTTCTTTAGGTATAATCCATGGCTGATTTTGTGTTACAGCCACAATCACAGGATTGAGTATTTGAGACATATATTGTGTGGCTTACAGAGCCGAAATACTTACTAGCTGGCACTTCACAGATAAAGATCATCAACTCCTGTTCAAAATCATAAGAAATTATCTTACATTTTTATATTACACTTGGCCTAGTTATAGTTGTGAATAATCTTTTTTATTATTATTAGGCAGTCTTAGGAAAATATCAGTCCTTATAATACAGATGGAATGAGTTCTGATTTTTGTTGTTTTTTTTTTTTGCACGTGACGCATTTAATACTAAAAATACATTTCCCAAAGCAGAAATTTGTGGCTTTGCCTCTGGTTAAATTTTCCATATCTCCCCATGTCTCCTTTCTGATCTCTCTCTCTCTCTCTCTCTCTCTCTTTCTCTTTCTCTCACCCTTCCACCCTCACCATCCCACACATGTGCCAATCTGTACCTCACTCCCTCCCAGCCCAATGTAATAGGTGCTTCCTCCACCTGTGCTGCCAATTCTATACCTCTCGCTTCTTGGTGAACTCCTCCTTCACTTCTCCTTTGGTCTCATCTATTTTAGCCTATTTGTTCTTTCTCATTAATGTTTACGCAGGTTCAAATCTTCCCTAACATAAAAAGATTCCTCAGGTCTTACCTCTTGCTCCAGCTACTTTGTTCTTCTATCTTTCATAAGTAATTTCCTAGGAAGACTTGTTTACAATCAATGCCTTTGTCACCATTTACTCCTCAATCTATTGCCTCTGACTTCTTGTCCACACACACACATGAGGGCACATATTTGTATGTGGATGTGTGTGTGCACATACACACACACACACTGATATACAAACACATACACATTTTTGTAAATGCTCATTACTTCTTTATGATTAATTCACAATAGTGGAATTGCCGAGTTAAAGGATAGGTCACATCTTAACCTTTTCAAAAAGCCGTGCTTGGACTTCTACCAGCGGGGAGCCAGAGTACTTCACTCCAAGGTCATTGCTGAAAGTGGCATATTATCATTTATTAAAATGTAGCCAATTGGAGAAAGGAGAATAACAGTGTTGCAATGTAATATGGGTTAGCTCTGTGTCTCCACCCAGATCTCATCTTGAGTTGTAGTTCCCATAATCCCCACGTGCCATTGGAGAGACAGGGTGGAAAGTAATAGAATCATTAGAGTGATTACCTCCATGCTCCTGTTCTCATGATAGTGACTGAGTTCTCAGCTCTGATAGTTTTATAGGGAGATTTTCCCCCTTTTGCTCAGCATTTCTCTTTGCTGCTGCCATGTGAAGAAGGACGTGTTTGCTTCCCCTTCCACAATGATTGTGAGGATCCTGAGGCCTCCCCAGCCATTCTGAACTGTGAGTCAATTAAAACTCTTTCCTTTGTAAATTACCCAGTCTTGGGTATGGCCTTATTAGCAGTGTAAAAATGGACTAATACACAGTGTTAGATTATTTTAGTTTTATTTGATTACTTATAAAGTTTTAAATGTTTTCATGAATTTATTGGTAGAAGATGGAATTTATTGGTAGAAGAATTCCAATACAAGTTCTTTGAGCCTTTTTCTAATGTAAACCAACTTTAATATAAGCCAGCATTTTAAAAATTGTAAAATATTTATTTTTGTTTTAACCAAGTTGTAGCAATAGTTTATCTGAAATAAAGATGTGCATAAATCTGAATAAACATGGTTTTTAATTTAAGAAAATATCAAGAAACAACTTAAAATGTCAAAGATTTGTGAAAATTGTGGCTCTCTAAAGTATCAGAGTAATAGAGAAAATTTTTCAAAATTATAAAAACTAATGGTTATAATTTCATTTAACATTTCTCCTTGAAGAAAATTAAAAATATTTGAAAACTAAAATAGAACAATTTTAACTTAACATTATGAAGTATGTTTCTGTTTTCACAAGTTCTTAATGTATGAGTGAATAAACCGTATATTATTTACTTTAAAAATTAAAAGCTTTTTAAAAATACTTTTGATTATTTTATACTTTTTATTAGGGACTTTGAAGCTAAGGAGTTAATTCAATTAGATAAGAATTAAAATATTACAGAAATTTGTAAAATTCTTCCAATTATCTTGCTAACTAGACAGTCTAATATTAGATACATCAAAACAATAATCCTATGGTGATTCTGTACAAAATACATAAAACCATATAAGTATCATTTGCCACTGCTGAGATGTAAATATAAATGAAAATATAAATAAAATGTATACATAAATTTCTTGGTTTCAGGGGTTAAGGTTTGATGATAAATTTGGTCTTGATGACTAAATACGATTTTTAGAAATCCTGCAAGAAAAGGTGTAAGACTCTTTTGTACCTCTGACATTTGTGAAATTAAAAAAAGCAAACCATAGGACAACACATTCTGAGAAAAAATTGGCAAGTACTACTAAAGAATAATCCTGGAGGAAACCATAATATTTTTAAGAACAAATGCTTACATTTGACTCCAAACTAACTTTTTTATTTTGATGTTTACATACTCATTTTTTCACTTAATTTAATTTCTATAACTCTATATAGTTTTCTGGGATGGGGTCTTGTACATATTAGGTATTCAAGAAATGTTTGTTGAATGTCTCAATCTGTCTTTTGCAATAATTGACCCTTTAAGGTATTTAAATTTAAAAAGTTAAATTTGTGTTATGTGTGAAACAGTGTGCTTTTTATCGACAATTAAATAAAATGTTATAATTTAGTCAGAACATTATAAATCTGGGTCTGAGCTGATGTGCTTTTTTAAGAGACCATTTTACAATCTAAGGCTTAAAGTGGTAGATAATCTTTGGTCCTGGAATTCTATTTCAGATAATCTATTCAAAGAATATAATATTTATGTAAAAAATGATCATAAAACATCTTTTGGAAATATTAAAATTGTTTAAAAGTTATCTTCTTTTCTTCTGTATGAAGTCAACAATATTACTATTATTGATTATCATCAAAGCAACTGAATAAAATGGAATGGGCTAATCAGAAAAATTATGAAATTGAAGTTTCTGGATATGAAATCTTTAAGATAATTGCCAAAAACAATCAAAATTCATCTATTTCTAGACACCAGGACATCATCTGGTGGAAGGGCCACTCAATTGCCCTTAATTCATTTTACCTAGCACACATTTATCTACTCAGTGTCTGCCATACGTTGAGCACTGTGCTAAGTGCTTACGGACAAGAATCATTAATGGTTGAATATGGAGGGTCTTGAATTCTATACAAAAGAATTCTATACAAAATTCTATACATAAACTATAGTTTACGCTGTAGGCAGTGGGGCAGACGAACAACATGATTAGACTCCTAATTTAAAAATAACCATCGTGAAAATGTGGAGGATGGAGTGAGTAATGGGAGAAAGTCCAGTTAGAAGACCCTTGAAATGGTCCCAATAAGAGTAAAATGAAAGCCTGGGGTAAGACAGTAGCCATAAACACTGAAAGAGGAATCAGGTATGAAGTCCTGAGTGATGACATGTTTGAGCCTCCCATGTTTAACAAAGACAGCAGCATATAAAAGATCTTACAATATTTGAAACTGAAGAGTGAAAAAGGCAATGATGGACTTGACTTCCCTAAGAAAGGTCTGCTGTCATGGTTGGCCAGTTCAGGTTGCCTCTCATCCTTCATAATATGAAGCCAATTGGCCATGCCACACATGAAGCAACAGCTATCTGAACAAGGCAGTGCAACCGCTGGAAAGTGTATACAGAGTTAGTTGGAATTAATAATGTTTACATTTGTTTAAGTAATTATTTAAATATGTTTACCCTTTCGGTTGTTATGTTGAACAGTAATTTTCTTCTTAATACTTAATCCCAACACAAAGACTTCAACAGTAAAATACAGTATCATTGTACTACATTTTCCTTTAACTATAAGTTATGCAACATAAATTTTGGATCATTTTTCCAAACCAAAACTAGCAATACTTAATCATAAAATTTCAAGTTTATAAGAGATCTAATTTGGTAACTTGGAATGCATCAGTTAGCATAATCAATAGGTGGTACCAATGCCACCTTACATAACATTTCCTTTACCCCATCTGTAGGATAGGATCCCTTCCTAACTCTCCCATTACACCCTAATTGATTGATTGATTGATTGATTGATTGATTTGAGATGGAGTCTCGCTCTGTCACCAGGCTGGAATGCAGTGGCGCCATCTCAGCTCACTGCAACCTCCACCTCCCAGGTTCAAGCGATTCCCCTGCCTCAGCCTCCCAAGTGCCTGGGACCACAGGCGCGTGCCACCGTGCCTGGCCAATTTTTTGTATTTTAGTAGAGACGGGGTTTGACCATGTTGGCCAGGATTGTCTCGATCTCCTGACCTCGTGACCTGCCCACCTCAGCCTCCCAAAGTTCTGGGATTACAGGCGTGAGCCACCCCACCTGGCCCACCCTCTTATGTCCCCAGTATGGCACTCTTTTGTGAACTGCTATGAAGAATCTCTGTTAGAGGCCAAAGGCTTTGATCATTAGGTAAAGATGATGGTTTTAAATTATGCTTTTCACTCCCATTGCCTTGTAGACTTTCACAGCTATTGTTTCCAGTGTATTTCAGCTGAGTTTCACCCTCAAAACACAGGTGTATGTTGAACTATCTTCTTCTTGTGAATCTTTTGACCAATCAATAAAATAAGACCACGTAAATAATGGATATGCTACTGGATAACATGGTAAAATATTAATTTACCTTTTGTTCCCTCTTGAAAGAATGTGAGCTATTTTTCCCTTAATTCTATTCCAAGAAAAAACTAAATGAATTATTCTTTCATTTTCCTCTTTTCATTTGGGTGTCTTTAGGTTGCAAGTTTGAAAAACAGACCACTCTACTCAGGAGCTGTTTTGGTGGTGGAGATGGAAAAGCAGATCCAGATAGAAGTAAACAAAAGAACTCTGAAAGGCAGGGAGTTATAAGATGGATGGTTATTCAGCCAGAGGGGAGATGGAGTCATGCCTCTCCTACTTAGGGCTGGGTCCAGGTACTGTTTTGTTTTTTAATTCCTTTGCAACATGAAGATTTATTTGGTCCACTTGTGGCACCTCCAATTGGTTAGTTAACTGACTATAGGATGACCATAAAAGATAGCCATTAAACTGTGGTTCTAAAGATTTCTGCGTGGAGGGTCAGGGTTTCAATAGAGGGCAGAGGACAAGATTCAGCACCACCTTATAGTAGAAAGAGCAAAGGTAACTACGATAAACACCACAGACTAATGGTCAGAGCTTTCCTGTTTTCTGAGTATAACATGAGCTTCCTGGATATTCATTCGACTGACACTAGGCAAAGTTAAAAGTTCTCCCAAAGTTGATTGAGGCTGATTTTCTTGCTGCTGTGTTTAGCGAGAGCTCTGAAGAAGTTATAATATTAACATGATTAAGAACAAATCATGTGGTGTTTTTCACTAGATTATTATGAAGTCCATGTATGACCACTACACATTTATAAATTCTAATTTCTCTTGCTTCCACCATTTCCACGAGGATTGTTGCTTTCTCATGTTGTTATACCTAGATCCCTGCACATATGTTTATTGATCAAATGAATAAATCATGGGATATAGAGCAAATGGGGACTCTTTGTATCATAGCTCTTTTTAATTTTTATATCTATAGAAAATCTGGTTTAGAGGATTTATGCCCCCATAGTAATCTTAGTCCATTAGTGCTACTATAACAAAATACTGTAGACTCAGTGCCTTGCAAACCACGGGAATGTGCATCTCACAGTTCTGGAGACTGGAAAGTCCAAGTTCAAGGCATCCACAGATTCAGTGTCTGATGAAGTCTTTCTGATTCATCATTAGCTGGCGCTTTCACCCTGTGTCCTCACGTGGTGAAAAGGCCAACGCAGTTCCCTGGGGCTTCTTTAACAAGGGCACTAACTCCATGAACTAATCACCTCCCAATAGCTCCACCTCCTATTATCATCACCTTGGGGTTTAAATTTCAAGATATAAATGTTGGGGACACAAACATTCAGTCCATAGCAATGGTATTTTCTATTTATTTTTTATAATATCTAGGATCTAAAGTTCTCCTTCAATTAGCACCTATAGCAGTTCTAATTACACAGAGAAGACTACGTAAATACAGAAATAACACATGGCCTAGATGTAACCGGCTTCCAATTGGCTATCTCTGTCTCCACTCTTTGTATAACTTAGAGCAAGTTTCAGCGCTTCACAGTATTAATTGCTATATGAATATATCTCACAAACCACTATGACAAATAGATATTTTAATGTCCATTTGATGAGCACATAAAAAGAGGGTTACTAAACAGTCCTCAGCATTTACAGCTGAGAAAATCCGTATCAGACATGGACATCTTCCCTTCTTTCCTGATATTTGCCTCCTCTCTACCACCCATCCTCAATCTCCCTTTATTTTATGCAGTGTTTTTTACAACTACACAGGTTTCTCCAATTTTGTTTTGATATTGAAATACCTATCTGCTGTTGTCGTGATACACAAATACCTATGACTTCACACTGTGTTCAAGTATGTGACTAAATATTTTATTGAAGGCAGCTATACACCCAACTAAAAAAAAAAAAAAAAAAAATTCAGCAATGTGAACCTTCCTTAGAAGAGTGTGCTGTGGGTGTGTTGCAGTGAGGATGTGGACGGAGTGTGAGTAAACAAACATTTTTTTTTCCATCACATCTTTCTTGTCACATGTGCAATTTAAAGCCAGACTCTACATTTCTTTCATAGCAGCCCTGTCAGCTCCTCCTTAGAACAGTCTTTCCTTTCTATTGTCTTGTTTTCTCTGTTTAGCAGTTTGTCCTTTTTACTGCCTCCCATTCTGCTGCAGAAAGCAATTTAAAATCCTTTTCTTTTTTCTCTTTAACATTACAGCTCACTTATGAATACAGCTTATAACAAAAACAATTTTTGGTGAGATAGAGAACATCAGTCTCTCCACAAGTTAAATTTGTATTCCCAAAATAAAAAAAATCAAGTTGTGATCCCAAACCATGCCTTATCTACTGTACTTGTCAAGGTTTTTAGTTGAAGGCAACAGAAGCTAACTCTGGGGGATTTAAAGAAAAACAGAATTTTTTAAGAGTTAATTGTGTTAGCATATAGAACTGTGGGATGCTTTCAAACACTGGCTCAGAAAACCAGAAGCAACAATGGAAGGCTAGACACTCAGGATCAAAGTCAAAAACCACTCCACACTTCACTGTCTAGTGAAGACAATAATGCTACTTTTTCTCAGTACTAGCTGCTTCAGCTTACATTGCCTTTGTCTCTAAGTATCACTGTGAACTGCCAGGTCCCAAAGGGAGCCTTTGCTAATCTTCTCTCCTTGCATTATTTGTTCTCAGTCTGGTGCTTACAATTGGCTCAGCTGAAGTCATGTGATTATGGCTTATGCTCTGGCTTTCCCTAACAGTAAACTTTGATAATATGTGTATCACCCATAGAACTTTAATAGCTAATTGCAAGCGAGGCTGGGAGAGGGCAAATTTGTTCTTTTAGGCTTCCATGGTCTTCTCAACCACCAAGACCCATATGTTATGTATTCTTCAAGCAAACAAAGAAGGTTCATCTCCCCTTAGGGACACAAAACAAAACAACTACGAAAACCCAAATGTTCCAATACAACAACATAATAATGCAGAAATTTTCAAAATATGATCAAATTGCACTGAATTCAGTATTCTACATTTGAAAATATACTCAGCACAGGCGCAGTGGCTCATGCCTATAATCATAGCATTTTGGGAGGCCAAGGTAGGTGAATCACTTAAGCTCAAGAGTTTGAGATCAGCCTGGCCAACATGGCAAAACCCCGTCTCTATAAAAAAATACAAAAATTAGCTGGGCACTGTGGTGCATGCCTGTAATCCCAGCTACTCAGGAGGCTGAGGCATGAGAATCACTTGAGCCCAGGAGGCAGAAGTTGTAGCGAGCTGAGATCACACCACTGCACTCCAGTCTGGATGACGGGAGTGAAACCCTGTCTCAAGGAAAAAAAAAAAAAAGAAAGAAAGAAAAAAAAAGAAAATCTACTCAAATGAAGACCTATTTTAAAAGTTTAGAAACATGCCTCAACAATTTCCAACTCTGTTGACATAAATTGTGGATTCAATTATCTTGTCACAAATCCACTTGTAATTTAAAATTGCATCTTTATAACACTTTAAATGTTATTAAATGGCATATAATGTATAATGTAAATAACCATACATAATGGTAATAATCTATAGTACATACATACATAATGGTATTATGTCATAATGGTATTATGTATGATAGTTATATAACATGGTAATATGAGATATATGTAATACGAGCGTTATACACAGACACACATATTTTTTAAGACAAACTGAACTGTGAACTGTTAGCTTTCTTAGACTCACACAATGTTCACTTTTAAATACAGCCATTAGAATTTTATTGTCTTTGTTTTTTTCTCCTTTCAGCCCCTAAAGTATTAAAGTACACATTCATAATCTGTTGTTTGTCTCTATAATGAATGTGGTTACTCATTCAGATTCCTTTGAAACTAATGAATGGCAAACCTTTAACATCTTATGATACAATGACCAGAGTGGCATTTCCAGTGGCTGTCATTTGGCAGTAGCATTTGGAGCATCATAGGCTGCGATCCCCCTATCTGCTTTGAATGGCTATCACCTCTAGCTTCCACAACGATCTGCCTCTCTCACATTAAATGTGTTGTTAGTAACTGACACCTCTGGCATTTCAACTCCTTCTGCTTCGTTTTTTCTCGCTTCCTCGCTTCACTTGCACTTTACCCTATTATTTCAGGCTTTCTTCCCTACCATCAGATAACCCCACGTGCTATTTCTGTTTCCTCATGTCTCTGTTTTCATTGTCAACGTTTGGATTGCTCCCACCATCATTCTTGCCAACTATTTATTAGACTAATGGAAAGAATAATAAAAACATATTAAGTTACTCAATTTACTGGATAGATTACTTTTCTTTTCTTTCTTTCTTTCTTTCTTTTTTTTTTATTTTTCAGATGGAGTCTCACTGTATTGCCCAGGCTGGAGTGCAGTGGCATGATCTCGGCTCACTGCAACCTCTGCCTCCTTGGTTCAAGCGACTCTCCTGTCTCAGCCTCTGAGGAGCTGGGATTACAGGCGCCCGCCACCACGCCCAGCTAATTTTTAGTTTTTGTATTTTTTAGTAGAGATGGGGTTTCATCACGTTGGCCAGACTGGTTTCAAACTCCTGACCTCAGGTGATCTGCCCACCTCGGCCTCCCAAAGTGCTGGGATTACAGGCATGAGCCACCCCTCCTGGCCTGGATAGATTGCTTTTCTACAGGGCAATGTTTTTATTCTTCTCTTGTTGACTGACAGCATTGGAATCTACCAAAGTGAAATCACTTTCTAACTTACTTATTCTCAATTCTGACCCTGCGAAGGAGAATAAATTCATTAGGGAGGTCCTACTGTCCTAAAAAGGACACAGTCTTTAAGTCAAAGACATTTGATAATGACTTCTTCATTTAGCTCCGTTCATTTCTGTATCTCACTTTCTCTATAAGTAAATTAAGATAATTGCACTAACTCACACAACTATTATGATTACCTCTCAGGTAATTTATCTGGATTTAATGTATTTCCCTGTCCCTTAAATGGGTGAACATTGAGATGTTTCTATTTTCCCTTTATACTTGCACTTAGAGGTCTGTCTTTGACTCTCTTTAATTGGCTTTACAAATATTATTTCACAGGTGATTTCCAATCCCATATGGTATCCCTGATCTCATTCCAGATTTTCCGTTCTCTACTTGTAAGTGAGAAAAATGAAGCCAACCATACCCTGCTCTGTCTACAACCTCTAGGAAGCTACAAGAGGTAAATTTTTATCTAAATAGTTAATCGGACAGGCCTTTACAAATTATCATTTCAAAGTTTTACTTGAAAATGTAAGGCCTAATCTGCCCATGAGGTTAGAAAAAGCTGAATTACTCTGATAAAAAAACCCAAGATTATATTTTTCTACGATTTTCTTTCATATTTCTCCAGAGAGGTTAGAATTGAAGAAGAGAAGACAATGAAATGGAACTACGCTTAAGAGTAAGGGAGAAAGGGAGATTTACAAGTCAGAAGAGAGCGAAGAATCATTTTAAACATGAGGCTTTTTATTTCCTTCCTTCCGTCCTTCCTTCCTTCCTTCCTTCCTCCCTCCCTCCCTCGCTCACTCCCTCCCTCCTTTCCTTCAAGGGATTCTCTTGCCTCAGCCTCTCAATTAGCTGGGATCACAGGCGCACGTCACCAAGCCCGGCTAATTTTTTTGTATCTTTGGTAGAGACAGGGTTTCACCATATTGGCCAGGCTGGCCTTGAACTCCTGACCTCATGATTTGTCCGCCTCATCCTCCCAAAGTGCTGGGATTACATGCATGAGCCACCACGCCTGGCCAAAACTTTCCCTTTCAAAACTATAATGTTGTTGGTAAGTTCTTCTTACTACCCCACTACCCACAAGCCCACCACTTTGTGATGCCAGGGCTCTCACACCTTGCCTGGCACAATTGTTATTAAGGTTTTAAGGATCAGATAGTTAAGGTGATTCTTATATATATTCCCAATTACTTTCTGCATATTTGTAAGCACATGCCTTGTTCCTACCTAAAACTAAGTATTTCTAAATGTAAAATCATATTTTTTAAACAATGCCAAAATTAGATGTCTATTATTTTTTATCACAGCGACTAAAACAATGACATCATCCTTAACCCCAACTTCCCCTCATTTTCACACTGTTACTAAACTTTGATTAAATATGAAGCTTTTTCAGTAGTAGCTGCCATCAAGAAATCTATTTGTTATTTGGCAAAATTTATCATAAAAACAATTGCTGATGTAATATTTTCTTGCTTGGTAGTTGGTTGCTTGTTTTTTATTACCAATAGAAATTTTGATTTGTACATATTGGAAAAATGTTATATGCATTGGAAGAGAAGAAATATTTCTTTCTGTATCTTAAAAGGCATACAAAAGTATGACTTTGCTCAACTGGATTTCCTGGAACCATCTAGGGGAAGGAAATTATCCAGAGCACTGATACTATAGGCCATTTTGAAAAAATGTCAGATAAGTAAAGACCAAAGGAGTTGTCTAACGTGCAATTGAGGGGGGCAAGGATTTTAGTGATGGTTACCAAGGGGGTCAGCTGAAGTTCTGATCATTTTAGGAATTATGGTTTAAAATGCATGGAAGAGACAAAGTTTGTTCTCACGATTATTAGCTGTGCTAATAGCTAATTAGATCCACTAGTTTGAGTTTATCATGACTGGTGAAAAAGAAGTTAGTGGCTAAGGTCATGTGCTAAAGGGGTTGAAATGAAATGGCTGAGTGGCAGGGACAGGAGAGGACCAGTGTGGAAAATTATCACCCTTCTGGGTCCTTCACGCTTTCCAAGCAGAACAATAAAAGAAACAGCAACACACACACTGAGCATGTTTCTAACAATCAATGCAGTCGAATATTTAAAAATTATTCTTGAAATTTTTCAGAGGTGCTTGTTCATTAGTCAGTTTAATTTCATTTCTTCCTATCCATAGAATCATTGGTTTCAATGCCTTTCAAACATAAAATATTCAAAACCTTCTATGAAAAAACATGTCTAGGTATTACAGGATACATTTTCAAATAGAGACATAATATTTATTTTATTTGGAAGAAAATAAATTTAGTCTCCCTCAGCAGAATAGTTCTGAGCTAAAGACTGAATTTCTAAAACTGTTCAGCTACAACCTTTGCAGACTACAATATATGAGTTATCAGAATTTTGAGACTTTCTGTTGAGGAGAAAAAGAAACCGATACCCTAGAAATTTTTAGAAGATTTGAGTAGAGTGATGTAGTAGCTAGTTTGGGAAAGGAAATTTTAATAATTACTGCATATAGGTAATAGGGAAATTTAAGAAGCATAATTGTGTGATTTTTTGGTGTGCCCTCCCTCTCATTTTTATCTCTTCATAAAACTATAAATTCTATATTATTTATTATAATTGCATGTGTATTTGGGATATAGTTGGGAGTTGAGAGATGACTTAAATGAGAGCAGGCAAGCAGAAGGGGCTAGTTCTAATTGAGTTACACATAGAAAAATTGTGGGAACTTTTCACATAACATTGTGATTCTTATCAATAAAATGTTATTAATTTTTTGAATATTAATCTCAGTAACTAAGTGTATTATTCCATTCTCACACTGCTATAAAGATACTACCTGACACTGGGTAATTTACAAACAAAAGAGGTTTAATTGACTCACAGTTCCATGTGGCTGGGGAGGCCTCAGGAAACTTACAATCATGGCAGAAGGCAAAGGGGAAGCAAGGCACGTCTGACATGGTGGCAGGAGAAAGAGTGTGCAGAGGAAACTAGCCCTTTTAAACAATTATATCCTGTGAGAACTCCTTCACTATCTCAAGAACAGCCTGGGAGAAACCACTGCCATGAACCAATCACCTCTCACCAAGTCTCTCCCTCAAAACGTGGGGATTACAATTTGAGATGAGATTTGGGTGGGAACACAGAGCCCAACCATATTATTCCACCTCTGCCACCTTCCAAATGTCATGTCCTTTTCACACTTCGAAACCAGTCATGCCTTCTCAACAGTCCCCTAAAGTATTAACTAATTCCAGGATTAACCCAAAAGTTAAAGTCCAAAGTCTCATCTTAGACAAGGTAAGTCCCTTCCTTCTATAAGCCTTTAAAATAAAAAACAAGTTAGCTAATTCCAAGATAGAGTGGGGGTGCAGGCACGGGACAAATGCTCTCATTCCAAAACGGAGAAATAGATGAAAACAAAGGGGCTACAGGCCCCATTCAAGTCCAATTCCAGCAGGCTGGCCATTAAATCTTATAGCTTCAAAATAATCTCTTTTGACTCCATGTCTCACATCCAGAGCATGCTGATGCAAGGAGGGGAGGCTCCCAAGGCCTTGAACAGCTCTACCTCTGTGGCTCTGCAGGATACAGCCCCCATGGCTACTTTCATGGGCTGGCATTGAGTGCCTGCAACTTTTCCAAGCACAAAATCCAAGCTGTCTGTGGATCTACTGTTTCAGGGTCTGGAGGACAGTGGCCTTTTTCTCACAGCTCCACTAGGCAGTGCCCCAGGTGGGGACTCTGTGTTCAGGCTCCAACCCCACATTTCCCCTCTGCATTGCCCTAATTGAGGTTCTCCATGAGGGCTCTGCCCATGAAGTAAATTTCTGCCTGGACATCCAGATGTTTCCTTATGTCCTCTGAAATCTAGGTGGAGGCTCCTAAAACTCAACTCTTGTCTTCTATGCACCCTCAGGCCCAACACATGTGGAAGCTGCCAAGGCTTGGGGCTTGCACCCTCTGAAGCAATGGCTCAAGCTGCTCCTTGGCCTCCTTTTAGCCACAGCAAAAGCTAGAGTGGCTGGGACACAGGGCACCAAGTCCCGAGGTTACACAGAACAGCATCGCCCTGGGCTTGGCCCAGGAAACTATTTTTCCCTCCTAGGACTACAGGTCTGTGATGGGAGGGGCTGCTGTCAAGATCTCTGATGTGGCCTGGAGACATTTTCCTCATTCTCTTGGCTATTAACATTCAGCTCCTCATTACTTAACATAAATTTCAGCAGCTGGCTTGAATTTCTCCCAAGAAAATAGGTTTTTCTTTTCTACATGGTCACGCTGCAAATTTTCCAAACTTTTATGCTCTGCTTTCCTTTAAAATATAAGTATCAGTTTTAGGTAATCTCTTTGTGAATGCATATGACTGAATGCTTTCAGACTCAGCCAGGTCACGTCTTCAATGCTTTGTTGCTTAGAAATTTCTTCCACCAGATACCCTAAATCATCTCTCCTAAGTTTGAAGTTCCACAGAGCTCTAGGGCAGGGGCAAAATGCTGCCAGGCTTTTTGCTAAAGCACAGCATAAGTGACCTTTACTCCAGTTCTCACGAAGTTCCTCATCTGCATCTGTGACTACCAAGGCCTGGACTTAATTGTCCATATCACTATAGCATTTTGGTCAACACCATTCAACATACCTCTAGGAAATTCTGACCTTCCCCACATCTTCCTGCCTTCTTCAGAGCCCTCCAAACTGTTCCAATCTCTGCCTGTTACCCAGTTCCAAAGTTACTTCCACATTTTCAGGTTATCTTTAAAGCAGTACCCCACTCTCGGTACCAATTCTCTGTATTAATCAATTCTCACACTGCTATAAAGATACTACCTGAGAGTGGTAAATTTATAAAGGAAAGAGGTCTAATTGACTCACAGTTATGCATGATTGGGGAGGCCTCAGGAAACTTACAATCACAGTAAAAGGTGAAGGATAAGCAAGCACATTCTTACAAGGTGGCAGGAGAGAGACAGCGTGCAGGGGAAACTTCCACTTTTAAACCATCAGATTTCATGAGAACTCCCTCACTATCATGAGAGCAGCATGGGGGAAACCACCTCCAAGATCCAATAACCTCCCACCAGGTCTCTCCCTCAACACTTCGCGATTACAACTTGACATGAGACTTGGGTAGGGACACAGAGCCAAACCATATCACTCAGTATGATAACATAATTAAGAAACATGGCTTATTTGTAATTTTTCAGCACATACATGTGATAATAGTAGCATATTTTATACAACCAAACATTATCTCAGATTATGCAGCTAGGAAAATGTCACTTCAAAAGAGAGTAGCAGTGACGAAAAGAATGGCTCATCTCTGAGGATTGATTGGCTTTATATTCGTAAATCAGGAGACTATGTTACTGTGGAACCAGGTTTCAGAAGAAACAGTTTAGAGAGTTTATTCCTCTCAGGATATTTTGACCCTTAATATATGGTAACAAGTAAACTTTATATTTGATCCATCACTATATGGGTACACATCTTTCTTCATGAAGAAAAATTATTGTAAATAAGAGAACCTCCAACATCAACAAGCTATTTCACTTGTTTTGTTTTTATTTACAATATAACACATATGGTATGCATAAATATTTGGGAAAATAAATAAAGCATAAAATATAAATGATTGCATTTTCTGAAAATTTGATTGTTCTGTACTTAGATAATAAAATAGTAAAATGGTATTACATATTAAAAAATGTATAATAATATGTGCTGTGAGGCTTAGTATCCAGGCACATACATGAACTATATTTATTAAGGAATTAATTTTTGTATATATAGGAATATAAATGTCTATTTTCTTATATAGTAACTTCTCAATAATTCTTTAATAAATGAATGAAGACAAATAGCTGGATAGACCAGGTATGGTGGCCCACGCCTGTAATCTCAGCACTCTGGAAGGGCGAGGCAGGTGGATCACTTGAGGTCAGGAGTTCGAGATCAGCATGGCCAACATAGTGAAACCCTGTCTCTACTGAAAATACAAAAATTAGTCAGGCAATGGTGGTGCACACCTATAATCCCAGCTACTTGGGAAGCTGAGACAGGAGAATCGCTTGAACCCAGGAGGTGGAGGCTGCAGTGAGCTGAGGCCGAGATCACACCACTGCACTCCAGTCTGGGTGACAGAGCAAGACCACGTCTCCAAAAAAAAAAAAATTGCTGGATAATCAAAGCGGCTCAATTGCACAAAAAGGTACAGATAGCACATCGTTGGAATATTTGTCCATTTCCTCTTGTTGAGAACTGTTACAATCCCACAGCATAACTAGTGATTTTCAAAGTATGTTCTCTGGTCCAGTGACCTTATTATCACCTGAAAACTTGCTGGCAATCTGTGTCTTAACACAGCCTCCCAGTGATTCTGATGGGGACTCAAGTTTGAAAACCACTGGCTTAGGCTAAAGTATTGGGCCAGGGCTTCCATGTTCATATTCTGCTGTCTCTTCCCTTCATTCTCACAGAAAGAAATACTGTCCATTAGAACACCTGGGCCAATCCCATTTTATTCCTCTAGAATTTAATCCAAGAGACATAATCCTTTTACATCTGGAAGTACGTGATAGTTTTTGAAAATGGAAAGTCAAGTACACCTAGGTATAAGTAAAACAGTCATTTTGGGGCCTTGTAAACAGCAGAAGGTATTGCCTTACTGACACAGAAAGGGAAACAGAGCAGATATATAGAAAGATAAGAAAAAGAGGCAGAGATGTAAGAAGTAGCCATCTTTCTTCCTATACCACTCTTGCTTCTGGCTCTGGTTGTAATTTCCAGTTGTACTTTTTGTTGCTGGGTTTCATGGAGTACTCCTGTATATTTCTCATAATTCATCTCCCCCTTTATATTCATGAAATTAGGTAGACTTCACTCTCTTACAGCAGAATAATTCTAACAAGAAATCTGCATAATAACAGTTGTTCAAATAAAGGAAAGCAAAAGTAGTCAACTATTGCCTGTGGCTAGGTCTTTTGCAATTAATTGGTGGATGTGGTAACTTGAATGAACCTACAAATTAAAATGCTAAAAACAAACAAACCAAATGTATGCTTTGAAACATTGTGGATAATTGTTTTCCGGTTATTAAACTATCCTATGGATGCCATTTCTAGAACACATTCTACTTGTTCTAGCTTAAATGAATCTCACAACGCCTTAGAGATGTAGTAGGGAAAAAATAAAAACCTCCAAGTTTTAGCTTACTGTTTATTTTTTTGATTTTACACATTTTATTTGATATTTCAAATCTCATGTTTTTTTTTCCCACCAGTAATTGAAGGAAATATCTGCATTGCCGTGTTGTGGTAAGGCATGGGATTTTATGGGTAAAAGAAAGTTTCTTAAGCTATCTCTTAAGAGGTTTTCTTAAATTATTTTCTTATATTTTCTTAGTATTTTCTCATATTTTCTTATATTTTTAATTGGCATTTTATTGATACTAACATATAGTTATTGATTTTGATGGGTTCTGTATTTGAATTATCATTCTAAAATGTATTATTTTTGTATAATTAATATTCGTTATATTTTTAATATCTTAACTATAAATATTTTGTCATAGAAAGCAAAAATACTACCCATATTTTTGTTACATGTATCAATAACTGCAAATAAAATATTCTAAAGAAAACTCTTTAAATTTCTCTAGGAATTTCACAGAATGGACCTTACATAAATTTAGAAATCAATAATCATGAAATAAAATGTCCAAATTTCCTAACATTTTATTATATGTTCCATTTATGAATTTGGTCATAACAAAACTGACAATAGAAAACTTGTCTTAATAGAACATTTAATGAAATAGAAACTTACCTCATAGGCAATTTTCAGGACTTAGAATTAGAAAGTAGTGATGACCTGCCAAGAGGCTGCACAAATGAAAAGGCCAGGAAGACCTATGACCCAAAGAAGCTTCCAGTAGGGTTTGCCCCAACACACTTTATGCATGCATGAATTCCTTCCCTATAGGATATTTCAAATCACCTCTGCTGCTGAATCATGTTCAATAAAACAAACAAGTTTTCTAATTTGTTTTCATCCATGACTGATGCTATTAATAATGACCTTTTCTTTTGCAACAAGATTTATTCACAGTCAAAATTTAGAAGGGAGGAAGACATAAATTCCACCAGACTGGGTTCATCCTTCTTGTTTTCACTTTCCTTCTCCACATAATTCACTCTGTCTCATGATGAATTCCAGGATCTTGTCATCACAATGGACTGCTACAGTGCAAACCTCTGGAACCGGCCCTTACACTTTCCAGCTACAAATGCCAACTATCTCATAGTCTGTGCCCAAGTTAAGTCACATTTGCGGCTTTGTCTCTCTGTCTAATTATACCACCTCTGAACGAAGTCAGCACAGTAAACTATCCATTTTCACCATCCAGGTTTGCATACATAAAACCTGCCTTTAATCCTTCTTGACAAATATCCTAGATGCCTTCTTTCTTAACTCTCTGCATGCTTTTCCTATTCATTTATCCCTGTCAACATCTGCTTACTCTAATTCAGATTTTAGGTAACTTACTTTACTGAAGGAAAGCCAAAGAAGTGAATGTCTTGGCTCACTGGTCACCTAATGTTATCTAATATCAAGTCAGCCTCTACTGCTTATCATCATTGTTGATGCCCCATGAGGTACTGACGGAAAATTCTACTCTTCGGTATGAAAAATTTAATTTTGTTGAATCCCTATCAGCAAAGTGGTAGACACTTCAAATAATCTTTTAATATTCACAATTATGTGAGGGCTGTTTATTGTTGCATTTTCCAGATGGGCACATTGATACTCAGAGAAATGTAGCTTGAAATCACTCATCACAAAATTCCTTTCTACTCAGCTCTTTTGGCAATAACAATGCTGTCTCTCTATGCCGAAATTCAACATGTTCATTCACGGGATTATTGTGACCTGTTAGTATTCACATGATTATTCAACAGGTTATTCCCATGGTTGAGATCTGAATTATTCTACCCAATCTTACCACCACACTAACAGTCTCCCTTGAGTCTCATTTTTTTTTTCAACTTTCTACTAGAAATTCCCATTCTGATATCATGCAATCCTTTTGAAATGTGGTGTTTATATAACTTTAAAAATTGTTTCCAATTTGTTTCCAATTTAAGTTGTCTGTAATGTTTCTCTATTTTTTTTAAATGATACCATCACCTTACAAATGTTTTGCTGGTTTGTTTCCTACCTTCAGTGATTACAGCTTGAATATGGTACAAGACAAATCACTGAAACTCAGAGTTCTGATCATCTTTTTCTCTTCACTAATATTTGCTGGATCCATTTTTGCAAGACTCTCTTTTACCTAATATGTACCCTATTTTCTAAGTTTTTAAAGTACTTTTACATTGAAATAAGCTCCAGAAAAAAAGGTACAATAAATTGTTTTCCCAAAATTGGCATGTGCTTACCTGGTTAATTTTTATTTCTAAAATGGCTTTACCATCTGTCTCTGCCAATAACGTTTTATTTACCTGAACACTTCTAATAGGACACTGCCTTTGGAAACCATGCTATCAAATCTAAATGACTTCCTCCATTTACTGTCTTACTTCCTGTTTTCATTTTTATTCTCCATATATACACTTTTACTTGGGTACGATCTGTATGAATGAGGCAGTGGCGACATTTAAATATGGCATGTGCCAAGAACTATTCTAAGAATTTTTCATTAAAATGCATTATTTTATTGAAATACACATGAAATGCTTATTAGATAATTGAGGCTATCCTTATTGATGGATTGGAAAACTGGGGATGAGTAAACCAGAGAATAGCAGAATCCAAAGCTTGCACAGTTATGTAAGCTTTCAATTCTGCTATCAGAATATGTGTATTCTGATAAAACTATATTGTGTGTGTTTGCTTGTGTGTGTGTGTGTGTGTGTGTGTGTGTGTGTGCAAGTAGCAATGAATACACTGAACATCCAAATCTTGACTTTGCTTTTTGTTTTGTTCTGTTTTGTTATGAGTCAGTGTCTTGTTCTGTCACCCAGGCTGGAGTTCAGTGGCATGATCACAGCTCACTGCAGCCTCGACTTCCTGGGCTCAAGAAATCCTCCCATGTCAGCCTCCCAAATAGCTGGGACTACAGGTGCATGCCACCACATGGAGCTAATTTTTAATTTTTTTTTTTTGTAGTGACAGGGTTGCACTATGTTTCTCAGGCTCATCTCAAACTCCTAGGTTCAAGCAATCCTGCTACCTTGGCCTCCCAATGTGCTAGGATTAAAGGCATGAGTCACCATGCTCAGCCTACTATGTTTTAGATACATCTTTTAAAACAGTTTGACGAAGCAATTTTTTACATTTTAAATTTTATGATTAGCATAGTTGCTATTGGCCATTATATCTGATCATCTCAGATGACTGCCTCCAATAGATCCATCTCTCTGTTAAATATTAAAAATGTACAGCAACAACTCAGTTTGGCTATTGAGATTTCCATTCAAGTCACTTGATTACTTGTTAGAACATACACTGGAATATAAAATAAAATAGGAATAAAGAAGACCCTTAAGGTATTCACACCTGAGGAAGGGTGGAAGACTTGTGTGGGCCCAGGAATGGGCATGTATAGCAAAGACATTTTATGTGCAGGTGTATGTGATCGCTGCAGTGTGTGGAGACTGCAAGCAAATGCAGGAGACAACTTATCTACCTATGGCATACCTTCCTAGAGCAGGTGGCAGAGGACTGCGTCTAGAAGAGTCATTAGAAGAGAAACAGAATTTGTTAGGTTGGCAAAGGAGTAGTGTGGCTAGAAAAGCCATTCCAAGTGGAGAAATTCATGGATACAGACTCACAGAGGCGTGAAATAGTAGAGTATAGTGAGGAAATGGCAGCACTTCTGTGTGTCTGTACTTAGCAATCACAGAGGGGAAGGCAAGAGATGAGTCAGGAAAGCTAGATTGGGTGAAATTCATGAAAACACAGTATTGCACCATTTTTGAGTATTGTGGTGGCTCATAAAAATACTTTTATTAACTATGTGAGTTTGGTAAAGTTGTTTTTCTCATATTTATTTTGAGGAATAAGACTGTACATAAAGCTTTTAGTGTAGAGTGGAGCATTTAATACACAAACAGTAAATGGCAGGAGTCCTTGCTTTTGCCATTATAATTGTTGCTCTCATTATTATCATTACGATGAGGCAATAAGACACTATGGGCACATTTTAAGAAGGAAATTAACTGGATCATATCTGTGGTTTGAATAAGCATGTGTCTATCCCGTTGACACTTTGTTATGGACTATTAAGTGTTATCTCTTTCTTTTCCTTCTTTTTCTTTTCTTTTTAAGAATATAAGGCAATGGGTATCCTAAAACATAACTGGCCTAATTCTGCATTTGAAAAGGGGCGAATATTTTGAAGAAAATGTTTTCTATTCTGGTCTAAGAGTCAGCTCTCCAAGCTTGCTTTCAGACTCTTCCTTTTTTCCTGCCCTGACTTATACTAGTTTTCAGATCCCATCCTCTCTCTATTTTCTCATTTTGTTCTACTTTGTCTACTGACACTACAGGTATTTCCGAAAACAGAGTAGAAGTGGTTTTCAGCAGGGAGTCAAGTTGCAAGTGCAAGGTCTGTCAGGGCGGTCATATAAAGGAGGAGCGACTTTCCAGAGAGACAGGCCTCTCTCTGTCCAGTAGGAAACTGGAAAGTTGCTGAATCATTTGGTGGCATATGTAATACAGTGGATTACTATTCCCAGCTATTCACCCACTTCCAGCAATGGGATTTGATATAGTCAATTATAGTTATATGAGAATTCCTGTTCATTCTATGGGAGGAATAAGCATCAGAACCCTATGAACTTCTGCCAAGTCATGTGGCTGCTTTGGCTAATGAATATGAGCAGCCATGACATTGGTATGATTAAGCAAAAGGTTTCAATGTGATTATTTGATTTGGCTCAGCCTCTGTCTCCCCTGGTATGTCCTCTGCGTTGAAAACTGCAGGATAGTGGCTGCTGCTTCACTCTGGGCTCCTGGAATCAAAAGCCCAGTGAAACTGAGCCCAGCCAACCCAAACTCACCCGGCAGTCCTCAGATGAACAAAAAGCAAATGATCTTGCTCTAAGCCTTTGAGAATTGAGATTGTAGGTTATTGCAATACAAAAGCTGACTGATAAAGAAGACCCAGACCTGAAATCTCTTATTATCACACCATAGAATCCAATGGCTTTTCTATAATAATATCAGAATATGTCCTTTCTCCACAAATTAAAACCTATGTGAAAATGTATGACGTTAAGTCTGAAGCTCTGAGTCATATATTGGATTTAAGTAACCTTTGGAAATAATCATGGAATATTAAGTTAGAAAAATGTGGCCCCTATAGCCTAAATTGTGAGTTACTTCATCCTCTGATTCATACTCTCCTCCTACCCCATTTTTCAAAGTTGAAATAATAAATTTAATTAAAATTAGCATCTATCATGTGTTATGAGGTCCTTGACTATAAAAGTTCGTAACTTCTTTGCTATATGCAACTTAGAATATCAGTCTTCAAAATAAAATTCTTAACTTTTTTATAATTCTTCATTCTTAACTATTTTATTATAAAATTACACAAGGAAAAGAGATGCATTTTAAAATTTCAGGTAACACCACATTTTGACAGCATATCTGCTTAGGTGGAAAAATGAAGCAAATTTTATAAAACATAAAACAAGGTGACATTATTAAATTTGGTATCTGTCATTAACAATAATATAATTGTAACTTGTATAAAATTAAGATAACAAAATTTATTTATACCCACAAAAATGAACCTTTTAAAAGCTAAAGTTTCAATGAATCAGGGTAATTTAATTACATCTTTTTGATTGCAATATTTTTTAAAGTTGTATGCCTTTGTCTAATGTGTAAGATTATGTTTTGTGTCATTGTGATGTTTTTATTCTGTGTAATCTGCTAGTCATAAAAACTAGATATAATATCTGATTTCTATCACCCTCTTATTTCATATTTATGTATAAGAAAGGGTCTATTAACCAAGAAAGTTTCATTGGAAAAATTGTCACTCATGCAAACAATAAACAAAATGACTCTCACAGTAAGAAAATAATGGCTATTTTGTCACCTTGAGCTCACTAAACTACAGTCTTGTTATGTTATTGAAAGACAGTATGCATGGTAATTTTATATCTTTTTACATACTTACAAGGCATACTTAAGCCCCATTTAAATGCTATCCTCCTCAATCTAGAATGAATACAATGACTCCTAATTTTAGAAATTTAAGGGCGTCAAATATGGTTATCATCAACCCACCACCAGCAGAGATACCTACACATAACCTCATCCACACTTTCTATGGCACCAGCTCCCATACACAGCAGGCCTTGCTGGATACTGGCTAGTAAATTACACATATGAGAATCATATGGGTGAAGGCAGTGAGCATAGTGATGCCATCAGTAGACACCATGGCCACGGGTAAGCAGAAGTCATGGGACAGGTTGAAGGGTCACAGAGACTGTGAAGCTGGCCATAGTAAGAGAGTGAAAGCCCTGTGCTAACTGAGGCACCACCATACCAAGATAGACAAGACACAGGTTTGTCGTAACAAGTCTGCCTTGCTCTCTATCCATGCGACCTTTAAATTATAATTAGTAAGTACTGTCCTGGCTAAAGGTCAGTGCAGTGGTGAATGGGAAACTCAAAATTAACGAGCAACACTTCGGTTGAACCACATGAAACCGTTCCTTCTGTAGGCCAAAAATGCTTCAGTATTAGTAATTTCATAGAATTCAGCCTCACATGCAGTATTAGATGCTCTACATATTTAAAGTCAATTATCATAAGAAGCCTCAGACAAAGGTACTATTATCATCTCTCTTTTAATAGCTGCTGAAATTTATTATCTAAGATGTTACTATAATTTGTAACTGAAGGTGTTACCCTGATGATATTTTAGGTTAACTTTGGGGTAATTTGTTTCTGGCACGTAATAGATTTAATTTCAGATTAATAGCTGGTGTTCTAGAATGATTAGAGTATCTTATCTCTTCAAGAGAAAAAGACGGGCAGGAATTTTAAAATAAAATGTAAGTCTTTCTAAACAATGAAGAGAAAATGTTTCACTGCATAGAGCCCTAAGACGTAGCATTCAAAATTTAAATTTCTTTTTTTCTTTTTTTCAAGAAAAGTCTCTCATTCCTTTTAATAAAAATAAGTATAATCTAAGTCTTTCTTGACATTTCTAATCTAATGAACGGCCAAGGAAATAAAATGCTATGTTTTCTGTCATTTTTCTCAAAAGGCTTTGAAATAAACTTGTTCAGTGATGACAGCGTAATAATGAAAAGTGTCTAATGAAAATAGCATTCTGACAAGTTTTCAAATACTTATGTGGAAATAAGAAAAGCAACTCATGCCATGAGAGGACTGAATGGACCAAACTTAGAAATAAAGAAAATAATATTCAAGCAGCACATAATAAGTGATATTTGTGCTGAAAGTGGCATAGGAGTAATTAGCAGAGACTTGCAGCCATATACCCAAAGCCAAGGCACAGAGAAGTGAGTGAGTCAGATAAGTTCTTTCCACACAGTCACTCACAGAGACACACAAGTGACAGTCACGTGTTCTGAGACTACTATTACAGGAAGAGGAAATACGTTTCCTCATTTCTATTAAGAGATACAGAAATAAATTTGAATTTGAAGAATTTTTTTAGCAATGGAGCTAGAAAAATTCTTTTCCAGATTAGATAACATGAAGATTTCTAGAATATTTTAAAGGAATAATAATCATGAATATTTTAATAATTATACTAATTACATTTACTGAACACTTACTGTCAGGCCTCTGAGCCCAAGCTAAGCCATCATATCCCCTGTGACCTGCACGTACACATCCAGATGGCCGGTTCCTGCCTTAACTGATGACATTCCACCACAAAAGAAGTGAAAATGGCCTGTTCCTGCCTTAACTGATGACATTGTTTTGTGAAATTCCTTC
This sequence comes from Homo sapiens, assembly GCF_000001405.40. Taxonomy (NCBI): domain Eukaryota; kingdom Metazoa; phylum Chordata; class Mammalia; order Primates; family Hominidae; genus Homo; species Homo sapiens. The sequence continues at coordinate 146,249,062 of NC_000007.14, read as the reverse complement.
TCCTGGCTCATCCTGGCTCAAAAGCTCCCCCACTGAGTACCTTGTGACCCCCACTCTGACCGCCAGGGAACAACCCTCCCTTTGACTGTAATTTTCCTTTACCTACCCAAATCCTGTAAAACGGCCCCACCCCTTTCTCCCTTCACTGACTCTCTTTTCGGACTCAGCCTGCCTGCACCCAGGTGATTAAAAGCTTTTATTGCTCACACAAAGCCTGTTTGGTGGTCTCTTCACACGGAGGCGCATGAAATTTGGTGCCGTGACTCGGATCAGGGGACTTCCCTTGGGAGATCAATCCCCTGTCCTCCTGTTCTTTGCTCGTGAGAAAGATCCACGTACGACCTCAGGTCCTCAGACCGACCAGCCCAGTAAACATCTCACCAATTTAAAATCCGGTAAGCAGCCCCTTTTTACTCTCTTCTCCAACCTCCCTCACCATCCCTCAACCTCTTTCTCCTTTCAATCTTGGCGCCACACGTCAATCTCTCCCTTCTTTTAATTTCAATTCCTTTCATTTTCTGGTAGAGACAAAGGAGACACGTTTTATCCCTGGACCCAAAACTCCGGCGCTGGTCATGGACTAGGGAAGGCAGCCTTCCCCTGGTGTTTAATCATTCCAGGGATGCGTCCCTGATTATTCACCCAGGTTTCAGAGGTGTCAGACCACGCAGGGATGCCTGCCTTGGTCCTTCACCCTTAGCGGCAAGTCCCACTTTTCTGGGGAAAGGGCAAGTACCCCAACCCCTTCTCTCCGTGTCTTCTCCGCCTTTCTGGGGGGCAAGAAACCCCCAACCCCTTCTCCTTCACCCTGAGCGGCAAGTCCTGCTTTTCTAGAGGAGGGGCAAATACTCCAACCTCATATCTCTGCGCCTCGATCCCTTATTTCCGCACCCGGACCTCTTATATCTCTGCGCCCTGATCCCTTATTTCCGTGCCCCAGCCTCTTATATCTCTGTGCCCCGACCCCTTATTTCCATGCCCCAGCCTCTTATATCTCTGTGCCCCGATCCCTTATTTCCGTGCCCCAGCCTCTTATATCTCTGTGCCCCGATCCCTTATTTCCGTGCCCCAACCTCTTATATCTCTGCACCCCGATCCCTTATTTCCGTGCCCTGACCTCGTATCTCTGTGCCCCAACCCCTTCTCTGCTTTTCTGGAGGGCAAGAACCCCCAACCCTTCTCCGTGTCTCTACTCTTTTCTCTGGGCTAGCCTCCTTCACTATGGGCAACCATCCACCCTCCATTCCTCCTTCTTCTCCTTTAGCCTGTGTTATTAAGAACTTAAAACCTCTTCACCTCTCACCTGACCTAAAATCTAAGCGTCTTATTTTCTTCTGCAATGCCACTTGACCCCAATACAAACTCGACAGTAGTTCCAAATAGCCAGAAAATGGCACTTTCAATTTTTCCATCCTGCAAGATCTAAATAATTATTGTCGTAAAATGGGCAAATGGTCTGAGGTGCCTGATGTCCAGGCACTCTTTTACATGTCAGTGCATCTCTAGTCTCTGTTCCCAATGTAACTCATCCCAAATCTTCCTTCTTTCCCTCCCACCTGTCCCCTCAGTCCCAACCCCAAGCTTCGCTGAGTCTTTCTAATCTTCCTTTTCTACCTCTCCCCTCCTGGCCAGGCTGAGCTAGGTCCCAATTCTTCCTCAGCCTCCACTCCTCCACCCTATAATCCTTTTATCACCTCCCCTCCTCACACCCGGTCCGGCTTACAGTTTCGTTCCACCTCTAGCCCTCCGGCACCTGCTCAGCAATTTACTCTTAAAAAGGTGGCTGAAGCTAAAGGCATAGTCAAGGTTAATGCTCCTTTTTCCTTATCAGACCTCTCCCAAATCAGTGTGCGTTTAGGCTCTTTCATCAAATATGAAAAATCCAGCCCAGTTCATGGCTCGTTTGGCAGCAACCCTGAGACACTTTACAGCCCTAGACCCTGAAAGGTCAAAAGGCCGTCTTATTCTCAAAATACATTTTATTACCCAGTCTGCTCCCGACATTAAATACAACTCCAAAAATTAAATTCTGGCCCTCAAACCCCACAACAGGATTTAATTAACCTCGCCTTCAACGTGTACAATAATAGAAAAAAGTTGCAATTCCTTGCCTCCACTGTGAGACAAACCCCAGCCACATCTCCAGCACACAAGAACTTCCAAACATCTGAAACGCAGCGACCAGGCGTTCCTCCAGAACCTCCTCCCCCAGGAGCTTGCTACAAGTGCCAGAAATCTGGCCACCAGGCCAAGGAATGCCTGCAGCCCAGGATTCCTCCTAAGCCGAGTCCCATCTGTGCAGGACACCACTAGAAATCGGACTGTCCAACTCACCTGGCAGCCACTCCCAGAGCCCCTGGAACTCTGGCCGAAGGCTCTCTGACTCCTTCCCAGATCTTCTTGGCTTAGCGGCTGAAGACTGATGCTGTCGGATCGCCTCGGAAGCCCCCTAGACCATCAGGGACGCCGAGCTTCGGGTAACTCTCACAGTGGAGGGTAAGTCTGTCCCCTTCTTAATCAATACTGAGGCTACCCACTCCACATTACCTTCTTTTCAAGGGCCTGTTTCCCTTGCCTCCATAACTGTTGTGGGTATTGACGGCCAGGCTTCTAAACCTCTTAAAACCCCCACTCTCATGCCAACTTAGACAATACTCTTTTAAGCACTCCTTTTAGTTATCCCCACCTGCCCAGTTCCCTTATTAGGCCGAGACACTTTAACTAAATTGTCTGCTTCCCTGACTATTCCTGGATTACAGCTACATCTCATTGCTGCCCTTCTTCCCAATCCAAAGCCTCCTTTGCGTCCTCCTCTTGTATTACCCCACCTTAACCCACAAGTATAAGATACTTCTACTCCCTCCTTGGCGACCGATCATGCACCCCTTACCATCTCATTAAAACCTAATCACCCTTACCCCACTCAATGCCAATATCACATCCCATAGCATGCTTTGAAAGGATTAAAGCCTGCTATCACTTGCCTGCTACAGCATGGCCTTTTAAAGCCTATAAACTCTCCTTACAATTCCCCCATTTTACCTGTCCTAAAACCAGACAAGCCTTACAAGTTAGTTCAGGATCTATGCCTTATCAACCAAATTGTTTTGCCTATCCACCTCATGGTGCCAAACCCTATCCTCTCTCCTATCCTCAATACCTCCCTCCACAATCCATTATTCTGTTCTGGATCTCAAACATGCTTTCTTTACTATTCCTTTGCACCCGTCATCCCAGCCTCTCTTCGCTTTCACTTGGACTGACCCTGATACCCATTAGGCTCAGCAAATTACCTGGGCTGTACTGCCGCAAGGCTTCACAGACAGCCCCCATTACTTCAGTCAAGCCCAAACTTCATCCTCATCTGTTACCTATCTCGGCATAATTCTCATAAAAACACACGTGCTTTCCTTGCTGATCGTATCCGATTAATCTCCCAAACCTCAATCCCTTACAAAACAACAACTCCTTTCCTTCCTAGGCATGGTTAGTGTGGTCAGAATTCTTACACAAGAGCCAGGACTGCACCCTGTAGCCTTTCTGCGCAAACAACTGGATCTTACTGTTTTAGCCTAGCCGTCATGTCTGCGTGCAGCGGCTGCTGCCGCCCTAATACTTTTAGAGGCCCTCAAAATCACAAACTATGCTCAACTTACTCTCTACATTTCTCATAACTTCCAAAATCTATTTTCTTCCTCATAGCTGACGCATATACTTTCTGCTCCCTGGCTCCTTCAGCTGTACTCACTCTTTGTTAAGTCCCACAATTACCATTGTTCCTGGCCCGGACTTCAATCTGGCCTCCCACATTATTCCTGATACCACACCTGACCCCCATGACTGTATCTCTCTGATCCACCTGACATTCACCCCATTTCCCCATATTTCCTTCTTTCCTGTTCCTCACCCTGATCACGCTTGATTTATTGATGGCAGTTCCACCAGGCCTAATCGCCACACACAAGCAAAGGCAGGCTATGCTATAGTACAAGCCACTAGCCCGCCTCTTAGAAGCTCTCATTTCCTTTCCATCATGGAAATCTATCCTCAAGGAAATAACTTCTCAGTGTTCCATCTGCTATTCTACTACTCCTCAGGGATTATTCAGGCCCCCTCCCTTCCCTACACATCAAGCTCGAGGATTTGCCCCCACCCAGGACTGGCAAATTAGCTTTACTCAACATGCCCCGAGTCAGATAACTAAAATACCTCTTAGCCTAGGTAGACACTTTCACTGGATAGGTAGAGTCCTTTCCTACAGGGTCTGAGAAGGCCACCGCAGTCATTTCTTCCCTTCTGTCAGACATAACTCCTCAGTTTAGCCTTCCCACCTCTATACAGTCTGATAACAGACCAGCCTTTATTAGTCAAATCAGCCAAGCAGTTTTTCAGGCTCTTAGTATTCAGTGAAACCTTTATATCCTTTATGGTCCTCCGTCTTCAGGAAAAGTAGAATGGACTAAAGGTCTTTTAAAAACACACCTCACCAAGCTCAGCCACCAACTTAAAAAGGACTGGACAATACTTTTACCACTTACCCTTCTCAGAAGTCAGACCTGTCCTCAGAATGCTACAAGGTACAGGCCATTTGAGCTCCTGTATAGACGCTCCTTTTTATTAGGCCCCAGTCTCATTCCAGACACCAGATCAACTTAGACTGTGCCCCCAAAAAACTTGTCATTCCTACTATCTTGTGTCTAGTCATACTCCTATTCACCGTTCTCAACTACTCATGCATGCCCTGCTCTTGTTTACACTGCCGGTTTACACTGTTTCTCCAAGTCATCAAAGCTGATACCTCCTGGTGCTATCCCCAAACTGCCACTCTTAACTCTTGAAGTAAATAAATAATCTTTGCTGGCAGGACTATGCTGAACCTCCTTAGGCACTCTCTAATCAGATGTCCTGAGTCGTCCCAATTCTTAGACCTTTTATACCTGTTTTTCTCCTTCTCTTATTCCATTTAGTTTTTCAATTCATACAAAACCGTATCCAGGCCATCACCAATAATTCTAAATTACAAATGTTCCTTCTAACAACCCCACAATATCACCCCTTACCACAAAATCTTCCTTCAGCTTAATCTCTCCCACTCTAGGTTCCCACACCGCCCCTAATCCCGCTCGAAGCAGCCCTGAGAAACATCGCCCATTATCTCTCCATACCATCTCCAAAAATTTTCGCTGTCCCAACACTTTAGCACTATTTCGTTTTATTTTTCTTATTAATATAAGAAGACAGGAACTTACAATCACAAGTAAGCTGTGCTTTATTTATTCCTCTGTAATCTCACTTAGGACTCATTCTAAACTGATGAGATTCATATTAATAATCCCATTCAGAGAGGAAGGAGCTTGAAAGAATTTAATGGATTTTACCAGAGATTAAAAAACCATTAAGTTACAAAGTTCAAATTCGAACCCACATCTATATCCAAAATTCATGATTTTCACCATTAAATATTTTCTTTGAATAGAAAAAATTAATATTTAAAATAAGTAAACACTATACAACAAACCCCAATATTTTGCTTTACAAACCATGTGACTGATCAACACATGTTCCTCCTCTCTGTTTTGTAAAACTTTTTCACTACTTCCTTTCAAATCAGAAAGTATTGCCCAAAAGAGAAGATCTGGAAATGTAAGAATAAAATCAATAAAATGGTCTGGTATTAACCTACGAATAGACAGACCAATCAACCAGAAATGGCAATGCAAAAATATAACCTGTTATATATGTAGGAGTTATATTGTACAATACATAAATAATTAATATAAATAAAGGAGAAATAATAAACTAAGGAATAAATATTAAGATGAGACAATAATTGGTACTAGGAACCTGAGGTATTTACTTGAGAATCAATTTTGATCGCCACGTTGCACAACTGAAGAAGTAATTTTTGATAGATTAATAATCAAATATAACTAATCAAATAATGAAATGGAAAAAAACTAGATTACTAAACAGCTTTGGTGGAGGAAGACTAAAAAACAGAAATCACAAACAAAAACAAGAAAGAATTTCAAAAATAGAAACATCCATATGTCTAAAAACAGCAAAAATAAAATTGAGAGAGCACAAAATTGTTAAATAGATATATGTTCTTAAAAATATTTGTGTAGATTTGCAGCTCATCCAGCTTCTTGAAATTATTACCTTTCTCTAAGAGGCACAACTATCTTTATTAATTGAAAGATGACATCATCTTCTAAATGTGCTATCATTCTATAATGTAGTTAAGAAAATGAAAGCAGGGTGATATGTAGTGTTATTTTATGATGAATTAATTTTTTATGAAATAATATTTTAGGATGGGCTAATACACTGATATTTGTGTTCACTTTACTCCAAAAATAAGGTCATTATCAAAGTTAATCAATCCAATATCAAAAGTTTGTGCAGAGTTTCTGAATAGTTTTCAGATAACTAATGTCTCTAGATTCTTAATTTACTCTATTTGGGTATCCATGTTTTTAGGGTTTGGTTTTGTTTTTTCTTTTTCTCTCCTTTTTTTTTTTTGAGACAGAGTCTCACTCTGTTGCCAGGCTGGAGTGCAGTGGCACAATCTCGGCTCACTGCAACCTCTGCCTCCTGGGTTCAAGCGATTCCCCTGCCTTAGCCTCCCGAGTAGCTGGGACTACAGGCACAAGCCACCACGTCTGGCTAATATTTTTGTATTTTAGTAGAGACGGGGTTTCACCATGTTGGCCAGGCTGGTCTAGAACTCCTGACCTCTTGATCAGCCCGCCTCAGCCTCCCAAAGTGCTGGGATTACAGGTGTGAGCCACGGCGCCCGGCCTGTTTTATTTTTTCTCATTTTCTTCTGCCCTGAATGTGTTAAGACAAAAATCAATTTGGATAGATTGTCAGTTTTATACCTGGTATTTTATCACCAGTTCAGTGATTTTACTCAATACTTACAAAAACAATGAGTGAAACATTTCACATGCCTTATCACAATTAATCCTCACAACAACCTCATGAGATAAATTATATTATTGAACTCTTTTTATAGCTCAAGAAATTGACATGTGAAGAAGTTATGTAATTTTCCCAAGTCATATGCTTTTTAAATGGTGGAATAAAATTTCAATCCTATTTTGTTCCAATTCAGTGTGAGCAAACTTAACCATATTTTCCCCATTAGGCTTCTAGGTAGTATTTTTATCTTAATAGAGTCTTTTCATATATATATGTTTGTGTGTGTGCGTGTGTGTTTGTGTGTGTGTGTGTATAGGTATATATATAATTTCAAATTTTAGGGAGGCTGTAGGATTCTTCTTAGAGTTATGGATTGACTTTAAACTTGATTTCTTGAAAATGTTACAAGTCTTATTACACCAGGAAAAAACTATGGGCTATGATTCTCTATCATATCTGAACCATATTTCACAATTTCCTCTAATATTTAGAAATAGATTTGTGGAAGGCTGTCTTTCTAAAAAAAATGTCACATTAATGACTTAGGCATCTTCATGCAATGAGTTATTATAAGTCTTGCATGGTCTTTTTAAGTTAGTACAGTGAAGAGTTCAGCAAATTTTCAAGATAATTTGATGGCTAGAGGAAAGAAAATTTTACTATGAGCAAACAGCCATGCTTGTATGTATGTGTTCTTGTGAACACAATGGTTACTGTTGTCTGGCTAAATAAAGCTTATTTTTATGTGATGGCCTATATAGACTAGTTTAATCCTTGTCAACATGACTCAGTATCTCCACTAGGGTACAGGTCTGTATGAAAGCTTTTGTTTCTTTAGACACACCTCATTTTAGAGGACTGAAGAGACAGCAAGGAGGTTTGAAGTCTACACATATATCTAAATGCCTTACCTCCTGATGTAGTTTGGATATGTGTCACTGCCTAAATCTCATGTTGAATTGTCATCCCCAGTATTGGAGGTGGGGCCTGATGGGAGCTGAGTGGATCATGTGGGTAGTTTTCTCATGAATGTTTAGCATTACCCGCTTGGTGCTATCTTGGCAATACTGAGTGAACTCTCATGAGATCTGGTTGTTTAAAAGTGTGGCACTCCCCCACCACATTCTCCCTTACTCTTACTCTTTCCATGTGATGTTCAAGCTCCTGCTTTGCCTTCTGCCATGAGTAAAAGCTCCCTGAGGCCTCCCCAGAAGCTGAGCAGATGCCAGCACCGTACTTGTACAGCGTGCAGAGCCATGAGCCAATTAAACCTATTTTCTTTATAAATTACACAGTCTCAGATATTTATAGCAAAGCAAGAACGGGCTAATGACATTTCCCAACACTCTTTCATACTGCAGCCCTATGCAAATAGCAAACATTAGTTCTAAACACTAAATTTTACAGATGAACCACTTTATGTAGAATTAGTTGTCTTTAGTTCAAATCCTGGAATTTGTGAATTCTAATTTTTCACACTTAATTTGAGAAAAAATGTCTACCTCCTAAGGTCACTGTGAGAAGTGATAATATAGATATATAATTATATATTATATGCATTTAATGTACATAAGTGTGAGGCATTATTATTATCATTTATATATAAATATATTTAATGTACATAAGCATAAGACATTATCATTAAATTATTAATTAGCAAATATGGTTCTGATTAATATTTTTCATTAGAGGAATGCTTCTTCTCTGAAAAAAGACTCAATAAACCTTTATTTCAAGGTATTAATTTTTCTATATTAGACCTAGCATTTATTTATTCATATATGACTTATAGTTCATTTGATTTCTGCAAAGGCTTAAGGTAGCTTACACTGCTAAAGGTATATAAAACAGAACAGGAAATAATATGTAGATAAAATTCTACTATAAGTAAAATAGAGGTCGATGCACTGTTATCCAGTTAACCTAGATAAATTCATTTCTGTGCCTGAGCAAAAAATTTAGGCAGGAGCTTCATGGAAGCCAAAGGAAAATGTGAAACCCAATAGTTAATACAGTTTCTATTATTTAAAAGGAAATAAAACAAAAGTTATACATAGCAGGTGTTCAATAAACTTTATTACAATGGATAAAATGGGTTATATAAGATATTCTGATGTTAATTTTTACATTGCCCCTTTATAAATCTAATGAAAAAATAAATTATAAACCAATGTAGACAGATCCATGAGAATTTATAATATATTTTAGTTTTTAAAATTTTATTTCCATTAAACCAATTCAGATAACTTACAAGAAAGATTAATACATATTTCCCTCAGATGTGTTGCATCTCATTTTGGCAAATGTTGGAAGATAACCTGGTTCAGTTTGTGATTTGGTTTTCTAGTGCTTGCCTGATATGTGATATTTACAAGGTGCATTCATAAAATGCTCAACTTTGACTATAAAACACAAGTATCAGATTTACCAGGGTTGATTTGAAATATACATAAGTATAAGACATTATTATTAAATTATTAATTTGAAAATTGATTTGAAAATTAGGAATCTGACATGCAATCTGTCCATACACAGGATAACACAGCACTGAGGTAGGCTGGAGGGAAGTCAGATGAATGTGAGAAGATTGAAACAGTGTCTATACATCAGCACTTAGTGGGATTCTCCAGGTTATCCTATCAACTATCACATTATTTTTTTACTGAGAAAACTGTGCCTAAGGGTTCACTAACTGCGACTATTTCAGGGTTATTAGGCTGGTCCTCTTTCCTGTAAAGCTGTTGGTATTTTAACCATTATATTTTGCTGTGGAATGAAAAACTTTGCTTTTTATCCACGGAATGCTAAACCTCAGCAGAAAATAAGAAAGAATTTTGACTTGAAAATAGATCACCAAGGAGCACTATTATCCATTTATGTACAAAGCCGGAGCTGCAGAAAAATAACATCAGGGGGGAAAATGCCACTGGCACCACAGAATAGAACACACAATTAAAATTACCTATATTCCAGCATTACTAATTTAAGAGTAATCATTGTTGCTACTCACAATTCTGTGAGTTTTGAATCTAAATTGTTCCAAACACATATCTACCCTAAACTACAACATTTTCCTAGAGATATTATTGGCTGCTTTAGCATGTGATATAGTTTGGCTGTGTCCCCACCCAAAATCTCATCTTGAATTGTAATCCCCACAATCCTCACCTGTCAAGGGAGAGACCAGGTGGAGGTAATTGAATCATGGGCGTGGTTTCCCCCATGCTGTTCTTGTGATAGTGAGTGAGTTCTCACAAGATCTGATGGTTTTGTGTTTGGTAGTTCCTCCTGCATTCACTTCTTCCTGCCGCCTTGTGAAGAAGGTGCCTTGCCTCCCCTTTGCCTTCCGCCATGATTGCAAGTTTCCTGAGGCCTCCCCAGCCATGCTCAACTGTGAGTCAGTTTTGCCTCTTTCCTGTATGAATTACCCAGTCATAGGTATTTCTTCATAGCAGAGTGAGACTGGACTACTACAGCATAATACTCTCGTGTTTCTTCTTATGCTCGAATTGCATTCCCTCTGTTATGACCATACTTTTTTTTTCCTCACTCATAAAAGAAAATATTAATAATTGCTTATTGCCAACCACCTAATATCATTCATATAATTATACAGCTTTTTTGTGCCTCACCATGGTTTTCTCTTCAATTCTATAATTTTCTCAATTTCTTTGCTCCCTGTCCAAACTTCGGACATTTTTCCTGCTCTCATTCCAACCTCAGGCTCTTCACATTGTGCTCACGTATCTGATGCCAAATTAGAACAGGTATTTTAATGGTCGTAAAACTGTGTGTAATAGCACAATTATCTTCTTGCTCATTCATATAAGTGCTCTGTTAACCCACTTAAATGTTATGCTTTTGAGCAACAACCATTCGTTCCTGATTCCTATTTCCTAAAGACGGCCAGTTGTACTCTCAATCCTTGACTAAGAGAAGAGCTTTATGAAAATATTTATAGCAGAAGATATGCATTTACCATATTATAAGGGTGACCTCTTTGTAATACACTCTAGGATCTTTATCATGCCAGAGTTGAATCTGGGGGAATGATAGTGTAGAGTTAAATTTTCTATGTCTCTCCTTTTGTGAGTCTACATAGAAAATAAAAACAATCATATACATAAGCTTGCTTTTGGAACAAAGACAGATATTTAGATTTGAAACTGTAATAGATGCTATTACAATGTAGAACAACTATTTATTTTTATCTAGCCATCTGGTATCTGAAAGGATATTTCTCAGAAGTGTTAAAACACTTTTATGCTCAAGTAAGTTTGGGCAATTCTGGGTTAAAGAAAGTTAAACTAGTAACAAGGGTTACTTCAGAACCTTTAATATGTTAATATGTTTTGCAAATTACCAAAGAAATTTCCATTGCCCTCATATTGGTATTTCTTAAATGTATTTCATATCAGAAATTTATGGCCCTGATTGTCCCCAGTGCTTGCACCGGAAATTTCCATTGCCCTCATATTGGTATTTCTTAAATGTATTTCATATCAGAAATTTATGGCCCTGATTGTCCCCAGTGCATGCACCGGAAAATGCTATTCTAGGCACTTGCTAAGAAAGCAAAAATAATTACTCCTTTTCTCTCTTTTATGTGAATGGTCTTAGTTTGTATGTGAAGATCATGTAACTTACGGATTGATCAGAAAAACTGAAGACGCAATGCAAAGTATGTCAGATCTCATTATTTTTTCTAAATCAAAGTAATTGTTTCAAGCTACCCATTCAATGAAATTAGCAAGAAACTCAGTATTCATCACTTTGTATGGCTACCTTTGCCTCCATGTGTGAATTTGGACAGAACACTGGCCAGTGGTCTTCTACTGAGGTGCTATTTATTCATTTAAAGTGGTGGCTACTTTGAGAACATTCCCTTTTGTATCAACTCTGCCTACAGAAATCTTTGCCGGGTTCCCAGGGTTAAAGTCACACAAGGCCACAGAACTTCCCTGCCAAGGTCCTGCTTCTGGTACAGCTATGTGGATGGCTGCTATGTTGGAACAAACCTGTTGTCATCACCCCATCCTAAGGGCATCAAATTGTCTTTCTCTGTCTTGTTTTAGCTCCCCCCGTGTTTTTCTCTAAATATCAACGTTAGTACTTTCCCTTTATAGAAGTTAGCTTAATAGTCTAAAATACAGAAACGAAGCCCCTCAAATGCTATCTTGAGCTCTTGCCTACACCTCATTGTTCAACCCTGAAACATGAAAAATCTAACCCTCTGAAGAAGCAAGGTAACTCAGAACTCCCTCCTGTGAGGTAAAAACAGAAAATCACACAGTAGAATTTCCAGGAGACTAATTAATTAATTAATAACTTACAATCTTATTGATAAAGCCATCTCTCTTGGGGGTCATTAGTATGGAATTTGATATATAGATATAATCATATCAAGGGATCAGAAGCTTCCCCAGTTCCCTGGAGAAGAAAATGTTCGATTTGTTTGATTAATTTGCTGCTCTCATCGGTTAAGTATGAAATTGTTATTAAGTCTATATTAAAAAGAAAACCTTTACATCAGAAGTCAAACATACATTTCTCAGGTTTTTATTAGTATGCAGCACAACCTAGCCTCAGATGATGTCATGTTGATACTTTTTCTAAAAGAATAAACAAAGCCATTAAAATATGACTGTGTAGCATTCCTCTTTCAGGCTGGTAAAACAAAGGCTTAGAAAATCAACTCATATAAGACAATTTTCCCATAAATTAGAACTCTTATTTATTTAATTATTTATTTACTTCTAAAGTACAAGAAAAGCATTCCATATGAAAGCTGTTCCCACTCACATTTTCCACTGTTAACATGAATAAATATTACATCATTCAGTGCATCAACTCATAATTGATATGAATAAAGAAATCTTAATTATTTTTTTAATAGTACACAGCGGTATTAGAGAAAATATCCTGGTCATTTTGACTCTTACTTCTATTTAATTCTTGGTGAAATAGTTGAACCATCATTGAATAACAAAAAATGAGAATATAATTTAAAAGCAGTGGGTGGTGTTAGGCACCCATCATATGGCAGTATTAATTTTGTCACAGATGTACAGTAAAAAGTAACAGTACAAGGACTGAATTTTAAGCTTAGGCTAATATAGAATACCAGGGATAATGGCATTTTACAAATACGCGCGCACACACACACACACACACACACACACATTTCCATATGTACTATGGATCAGAGAATATTGATGGGTAATTAATATAAGTCCATAATTGGTTATAAGACAAGTCTATGTATCAATGTCTTTGCTAATTTGGTTTTTATAAGAAGGCAAAAAGGCAGACGGGAGAACAGCTCCCTTCAACTTGGGCCACTTACAGCAGAACTGTCATGCTCTATCCATCTCTGCCCCCATAGCCCTTTTCACTGTGGTGCACTCCTGACTTCCAACGGGCTGAGAGTTTTCTCACGCAGCCACGGCCTGTGCACCTGAAAACACCACAGGCTGGAAGTACAAGAGAGATCATGACCACTTGGGGAAAAGGGGTATAAGAACCCCAGATCCCTTATGCCCCAGAGAAGATGATGCTGATGGCAAACTTTTCTAAGGGTTCTCAGTTTCCCAGTGGGATTAAGCTACAGCTACCTGTACTGGTAACTGACTTGATAATGTGTTATTAGTTGCCTTTTCTTTTCTATCTACATCTCCACTTCCCTGCCAAATAAAGAACTTGGCCTGGATTCCTTGTCTCACAGCCAGCTTCCAGGAGAGCCAAATGAAGGCTGCACTCTGAATAAACAGCCACCGTGAGAGTCAGTGGAGACATTCTCTGTCTTGCATCTATTTTCAGGCACTCAAGCAGAAAATAAAGGACCTCAGAAAAGGAACTCCACCCTCCCCCAAAACCCACCAATCTAAGATTCCCAATTAAAAAAAAAAAAGGATGTAGAAAGGAAAAATAAGTGAAACTATCTAATTTTTACATTTTGTTCTTCCTGCCCCTTTTATAGCTTTTATCTCTGATATCTTAAGATGTATTTTCTATGTACAGCCATTTCATTGTGTCTCAGTAAAATAACATGCCTTTGCCTCTTCCTTCTCAACTCTCTGTTCATACTTTCCTAGGCCTATAAACAGACTATGCTGACAGAGGTCCATACTTTGTCCCAGGTGTTTGCAAATGCTTATTGTGTACGGATCCACCTCTCCAAGGAATAAATAAAATCATTAAGCAATTTCAATATTATCACAGACATGCCAAATAGGAAATCAAGCAGGACAATTGACTTCCCAACTCATATGCTAAAATGCTCAGTTTCTTATGTAAAAACTGAATGTGGCAGTGCTACCTGGTAAAGTTTCCAATATAGGTATACATTTGATATTTCAGAATACTCTGTGCAAATTAAGATGTGAATTTTCAGTTCAAAGATAATGGGGAAAGGATTCCCTATTTAATAAATGGTGCTGGGAAAACTGGCTAGCCATATGTAGAAAGCTGAAACTGGATCCCTTCCTTACACCTTATACAAAAATTAATTCAAGATGGATTAAAGACTTAAACGTTAGACCTAAAACCATAAAAACCCTAGAAGAAAACCTAGGCATTACCATTCAGGACACAGGCATGGGCAAGGACTTCATGTCTAAAACACCAAAAGCAATGGCAACAAAAGCCAAAATTGACAAATGGGATCTAATTAAACTAAAAAGCTTCTGCACAGCAAAACAAACTACCATCAGAGTGAACAGGCAACCTACACAATGGGAGAAAATTTTTGCAACCTACTCATCTGACAAAGGGCTAATATCCAGAATATACAATGAACTCAAACAAATTTACAAGAAAAAAACAACCCCATCAAAAAGTGGGCGAAGGACATGAACAGATACTTCTCAAAAGAAGATATTTATGCAGCCAAAAAACACATGAGAAAATGCTCACCATCACTGGCCATCAGAGAAATGCAAATCAAAACCACAATGAGATACCATCTCACACCAGTTAGAATGGCAATCATTAAAAAGTCAGGAAACAACAGGTGCTGGAGAAGATGTGGAGAAATAGGAACACTTTTACACTGTTGGTGGGACTGTAAACTAGTTCAACCCTTGTGGAAGTCAGTGTGGCGATTCCTCAGGGATCTAGAACTAGAAATACCATTTGACCCAGCCATCCCATTACTGGGTATATTCCCAAAGGACTATAAATCATGCTGCTATAAAGACACATGCACACGTATGTTTATTGCAGCACTATTCACAATAGCAAAGACTTGGAACCAACCCAAATGTCCAACAATGATAGACTGGATGAAGAAAATGTGGCACATATACACCATGGAATACTATGCAGCCATAAAAAATGATGAGTTCCTGTGCTTTGTAGGGACATGGATGAAATTGGAAATCATCATTCTCAGTAAACTATCGCAAGAACAAAAAACCAAACACCGCATATTCTCACTCATAGGTGGGAATTGAACAATGAGAACACATGGACACAGGAAGGGGAACATCACACTCTGGGGACTGTTGTGGTGTGGGGGGAAGGGGGAGGGATAGCTTTAGGAGATATACCTAATGCTAAATGACGAGTTAATGGGTGCAGCACACTAGCATGGCACATGTATACATATGTAACTAACGTGCACATTGTGCACATGTACCCTAAAACTTAAAGTATAATAATAAAAAAAAAAGAGTCACAGAGTATATTCTGAAAAGGCTTGTCTTCTGTAGTGAGTCACTGCTTCATCATGTTTTAGCATGGCAAAGGCTGTTCTTTAGACTTGAAAAACCACTGGCTAATTATACTATGAAAATTCAAGTTGCTTATGAGGTAAATAGTCATGTTGACCTCATCGCAAGGTGAATTAAGTTACCTTCTGAGAATTAAGCTCTTTGATCAATCCTTTATGGAAGAGTCAAATCTGTGATAAATGTTCCTATCTTAAGTTCTATTCTCAAGTAAACCATAATAAAAAAAAACACTTTTTTTTGGATTTTTCTTTTTCACCTGAATACATTTCTAGTTAGTGCTTAGAACACTTTATTACTCATTTGATAGGATTTTTTCTAGAAATGTTTGCAGGATCAATTGGGATTGTATACTCTAACATGTAGATTATGTTCTATAACATATAATCCCTAAACGGATTACATTCCAATAGATTGAGATTATGCAATAGAGTGAGAGATGGAATAATTAAATGGGTTTTTGTCTCTCTACCTTAACTGGAGCCTAAGGGCCAAGTAAGAAAAAGACATTGCTTTCCATATTCACTCTTGTATCCCCCAATGTCTTTGACATTGTTTTTGTCAACGTCAAATGTCAATGTCTTTGACATTGTTTTTGTCAACGTCAAATGTCAATGTCTTTGACATTGTTTTTGTCACTTATTATGTGCCTAAGGTGTCAGGCACATAATAAGTGCAGAGTAAGTAAGTTTTTGAATGAATGAATGAATAAGTGTATAGGGTTATTAGAGAGATAGAATAGTTTTCAAACAAGTCTATACCTTGATTTGATGTACTAATATAAATAATGCAGAATGTCCCAACAGGAGAAGTGTTCCACAGCAGAAACCAAAAAAACAATAGATTCTTATAGGCTAATATGGAGGATACCTAGTCTCACTCCAAATGAGGAGAATCTCTGGCTCAAAGATTTTTTTAGGCCAAGCATATCCCTATAGGTAGCTAGACAAAATATTTGAACTACACACATTTCTCAATTTCAAATTCATTGAGCAATATACAGCTTTTAATTTAGATTTCTACTTACCTTTTCCAGAGGAAAAACTATGTCATGAAAAATATAGGCTGATAAATACATGCAATTTATCTGTCAATTAAAATTATATATTATTTAATATATAAAATTACACAAACACACATACACATACAGGCATTCAGGGCATCTTTTCTAAATTGATAAATTGTCTTTTTTATATACATAACAAGCTTATTTTGAGCTTTGCCCCTGTGAGTTTTTCCATGAAGGATATCATCTTGTTAATCAACTCAGATTTAAATCCTTCTAGGTGAAGTCCAGACCCAGGGCCATGGAAAACCTCTCCTAGGAAGCCTTTTGAGAGATAGTCAGCCAGCCTCTTTTATAGTTTCTTGAACCTTAGCATGGGTATAGAAAACAGAACAGAATAACCTCTGTTTAACCTTCAGGATATTGGAGAAAATTTGCAAAAATTAGAAAAAAAATGTGTTTGCATGGTTTATTCTAGCTTTAAACTAGCTCTCTTTCTGAATTATCTCTCCACCTTTCTGCACAAATGGACAAGAGAAGTATAGAAATGCTAAGTCTAAAAGTGTGTGCCACATGTGCAGTTCCTTTCCAGGGAATTCTTCCAGGATAAATGGCTGCGATAGGTGCCACGAGAAACCAATCCTCACCCTATTCCCGGATGCACTTCATCAGAGCAATTATAGACTGGTCTGTATGTAGTCTCACAGAAGAGCTTTGCTCAGAAGGGATCTTAGTTATTAATTAGACCAATAAAATTTGTCTTGATGGGTCAAAATAGGATACAAAGAAAGAATCATTCACTGGTAGGATTACTATGCAAAAGCACAGAGTTTCTGCTGATTACGCTTTAATTTAATTATATTTTATGCTCATTCTACATTCACATACCTGTACCTTGCTTTTCTATAAGTCAGCAGACATGGGAGTAAGTGGATACTATAAGCAGGTCGATGTTTAAAGATGATGAACATTAAACAAAGGAGGAGGTGACTAGTTGCTGCGAACAGGACTGATTGATGCAGAAGTAGAGTAGAGCTAGTCACAATACTGAAGGAAAACAGGTTCACTCCTGCGTCTTACTAAGGAGATGTGGCCAAGAGTACCACTATAGCTTTACCTTGTTTCTGAACTGGGACCTGGGTGTGCCCTATTTCCATGTTGCAGGGTCAGAACTCCTAACTTACTTGATCCATATCTATTTTCCAAAAACATTTCCCCATTACTTGAGGTAATCCTAGTGAATGTATATTTCCTGCAATCATAGAGCTTAAAGGACTCACTAGCTGCCAATTAATGAATGCTTATAAGGTTCCAGGTATTATTCTAGGTTCTTCAAGCTATATTAAATATATTAACTTTTTATTTATTTATTTATTTATTTATTTTGAGACAAAGTCTCGCTCTGTTGCCCAGGTTGGAGTGCAGTGGCACGATCTCAGCTCACTGCAACCTCTGCCTCCTGAGTTCAAGCAATTCTCATGCCTCAGCCTCCCAAATAGCTGGGATTACAGGCACCTGCCACCATGGTTGGCTATTTTTTGTATTGTTAGTAGAGACAGGGTTTCACCATGCTGGCCAGGCTGGTCTCAAACTCCTGACTCAAGCGGTCCACCTGCCTCGGCCTCCCAAAGTGTTGGGATTACAGGCATGAGCCACCGTGCCCGGCCAATAGATTAACTTTTAATTAATCTTCACAAGTACATTGCCAGATGGGAAATGCTTTCTATGACCTGTCTATTTCTATAGATAACAAATAGTGGAGCCAGCATTCAAAGATAGGGCTACATCACTCCAAAGCCAAGCTATACTCACCAGTTATAGCCAATTACTACAATTATTTTAAAATTTTTCTTTTCTATTGACTTGCATTCTTTATTCTTTACCCATGCAAAGAAAGAAAATATTAAAGTATATTTACTGTCTATAAACTGCAACATACATTAAGGTGCTGATTAATATGGAGGAATGAAATTAGATAGTGTCTAGCATTTTGTATCAGCATACTAGAATTTCTAGAAAGATATCAGGTTTCTCTTCAGTGAAGGAAGTGCTTGTCTCTAAGTTTGTTCAGTGACATTTATGCTTTCCTGTTCCTGCCAGGCACTGCTTTGAAGTGGAGCAGAATTCTTTTGACACTTCCACATTAGAAAAAAATCTCTGGTGCCAAGTGGACTTATATACTCACTTCCATTAGTCCTACAATGTCCCTACCTATAGTTAGGGCATTTTTTGTTTTCTTTTTTGATCTCAAGTGTGTAACAGTTCTAATACAGCAAATTTAATACAATTTTTTATTAGATCAAAATTCAATAGAATGTTTCATATGTTTTAAGGAAGGTTCATTGAATTTCTTCTTTTCAATGGAAGTCTTCATTTGGAAAAATGCCTTTTATCCTTCTTGCCGTTTACTCAATGCTTGTTTATATATTTGTGTTGACTATCAGAGACACTTTTTGTTTGTGAATTTAGTAAACCATATTCAAAACAGTCACGATTGACTCTGCTGAATTATATTTCCCTTGTGAGAGAAATGAAGGATGGCAGCAAAGATGTTCAAAAGTAGGATATTTTAAAAATCTCTTTAATAATAGGAACTGAAACCAAGCTAATTTAAATTTTGACTGTGCTTGTCTCATTTTTATTTCTAAATTGAGATTTTTTTAATAAGAAAAAAAAAACAAAAAACTTCATAGGCTGAAAAATAAACTGGAGCAGAGAAGTTTACTACCAAAAGATGAATACATTATGTAGCAGTAGCATTTGGCAACTGAAGTTTCCATAGTTGGGATGATATAAAAAAAAAATTAATGTAACAATGCATTCTCTGTCAGCGCATGGAACTCATGGATACATTTTACTGGATTACCTTGTAACCTAGGCTACATCACTGCTTCTCAAGGTCTCTCTAAAAGGCAATGTTTGGATTAGGCCGTCCTTATTCAAACCACTACCTGGAGCAGAGAGATTACAAAGAAAGGCTTTGGGAGTTGGGTCATGGGGTGTCCTCGTAGCATCTGCCCTTCACAGTAGTTTATCTATTTTAAGAATTAGACCTTTGAAGAAATTTTGTTTAAAGAAAAAGTTTCATGGCTTAAAAGGACAAACAAGTTTGTATACCACTGAAACAGAATGTTCTTAGTGTTTTCTGACATTCCAGTTCTTTTATAATGATATTTCTGCTTTTATACCCCAACTTTTTATTTATAAGGGGAAAAAGTGACCCGATGGCAATTCATTGAATATTTTTTAAGCAGTTCTTCCATATCCAAGGTTCCAATTTGCTACTCTTTTTTGTTTTTCTTTAAGAAAACCTACCAAGAGGAGATATGCTGAAAGATATATAGTTTTATATGAATATTAATCTGTAAACTCATGTGAAACGGTTCAGTGATCTAATAGATAGAGAGCTTGATTGTACTGATGCATGTGTGATTCGAAAGATAATTACATAAGATTAAACTTCTTTTCTGAGCCAATCAGAAGAGAGATCATGTTCATTTTTACAACCTATAATAAACTTTGTGGATGAGAAATTGTGCTATTAATCTCAAGTACAATGAAAGAAATAAAATATTATGAATAAAATTTGTCCGTATGCTCAATGGTTAAAAAATGTGGTCTCTATTTACAAGAATCATTAAAATGCTGTATTCATTATTTATAGAATAGAGCAATAGGAAAATGATAAAACAATAAGGAAATTGCATAAAGAGATGAAATGTGAATCACATTTATCTAAGAGAGGAGTTAATGTTGGTAATATTTCTATAAGAAAAATTCTGTAGTACTCATTCTGAATAGATTTGGATTTTTAGCAAGATTACTATTAATGCATAAAGAGCTTGCTCTGTAGAAAGAATATATACATATACTGAAAATAAAATATCCAATATTTACATAGTATTTACAATCTGCTAAAGCCATGTTCTAAGCTGTTGTCATCTATTCATTCATTTAACTTTTATACAACTCTACAGAATTTATACTGTTATCGTCTTTATGTAACATATGAGAAGACTGAGGTCCAGTGAGATTAAGGGACTTGCCGAAATTATGCAGCTAGAAAGTTATGCTGTTGAGAGTTTCATTTAGGCAACTAGTGAAAGTGTTTACTACTAAACAAGGTGTTTAGGCCACTAATGAAAGTGTTTACTACTAAACAAAGATTTAAACTATTATCTTCAAACTCTATTTCTCCTCAGTGTCACACACTTATCCCCAAATATCGCTTGGATATTTGCAGCTATAACGCTATAGTGCTTTGAATTCTCTCTCTCAAAATGAATCCTGTAGAATTTCAGCTCTTTTCTCCCAGTCATGAACCAAGGTAGAGGGCAGCAGTGAAAACAACTCCTTTCAGGTGCAAAGATGGAGTGCATGCTTTGTAGGAAGTGGAAGTTTATAATAATAATAACAAAACCAAATACAGTGAAGTTGCTTTTAACTGTTACCATGGGTAGCAATTTGAAAGTATGTCAGTGTTAAAATATTCCTCTGCTTTGAGACCGAATGTTCCCACAGCCAACCTCTCCTTCACTTGGAACAATTCTCACCTCCTATTTATTTATGCTGAGCCTTCTGCACTGCTGATTCCATCAACAGCCATGCATAACATGCAGCTGAAAATGTAAATTATCATGGATGCCTGCCTTCTCCCTCTCTCTATTATCCCTGAACCACCAATCAAAACTTTTGTCAGCTTGTCCTTTTTGATATTTCTACACCTGTTCTCTGCACTCTTCCGGTTATTTTTATTGACACTTTCTTTCATTACTCACCAATTGACATACTTTTAGATACACTCAATGTTCTCTTTATTAAAGAAATATTAATTGAATTTTCTAAATTAGGAAAGTGCAAGAAAGAAGATGCAAATCAGTTATAGTGTCAATAACTAGAGTCAACCAATGAAATATTTATGCATATCTCCTTAAAGATTTTTTTCTTTTTCTTTTTTTTTTTTTTTTTTTTTGTTTGAGACAGAGTCTCACTCTGTTGCCCAGGCTGGAGTGCAGTGGCACAATCTCAGCTCACTGCAGCCTCCACGTCCTGGGTTCAAGCAATTCTGCTGTCTCAGCCTCCCCAGCAGCTGGGACTACAGATGCATGCCACCACACCCAGATAATTTTGTATTTTTAGTAGAGACAGGGTTTTACTATATCGTTCAGGCTGGTCTCGAAGTCCTGACCTCAAGTGATCCACCCTCCTTGGCCTCCCAAAGAGCTGGGAATACAGGCGTGAGCCACCACACCCAGCCCCTAAAGTTTTTTTCTATTCTCTCATCATTCCTCTCTTAATATCTCTTAACCCATCTGTCTCTCTATGCCTATCTATACATAAGTGTGTCTTAAAAAATTGGGCTCATATTTTATACATAGTTGTATTCTCTGCCTTTTTCATTCATTTAGTATAAATAACTCATAAGAATATTTGAGAGTCAATGGATATGACTATTTTTTCTTTCAAAAGTAACATTTCTTAAAGTAATGAAGTGTACATGTGGTTATGATTTTTAAAAATGAAATACAAAATAAAAAAATTCATGATTTCACCATTATTTTACTTTATCTTAATTAAAAATTTCCCCTCACCATTTCTCTTTTAGATTACTAATAATTATGTTCTCATTTGCATCCCTTTCTCAATTGAATTTACCCTCATCTCTCAACCTACCATTCATACTACTTCCAGAACGTGTTTGTTTGTTTATTTGTTTTGTTTTGTTTTGTTTCTGATGCAAAGTCTCAAGGTCTCACTCTGTCTCCCAGGCTGGAGTGCAGTGACATGATCTTGACTCACTGCAGTCTCAACCTCCTGTGCTCAAGCAATCCTTTCCACCTCAGCCTCCAGAGTACCTGGGTCTACAAGTGTGCACCACCATGCCTGGTCAATTTTTGTATTTTTTGTAGACTTGGGGTCTCACTATATAGCCCAGGCTGGTCTTGAACTCCTGGGCTCAACGGATCCTCCCACCTCAGCCTCCCAAAGTGCTAGGATTAGAGGTGTAAGCCACCATGCCTAGCCCTAGGATAATTTTTTTTAAAATTTTGCAGATGTAATGAAGTGCCATCATCTACCCTCTAACTTTACCATCCCATATAAATTATCCCAATACACCAATACTCAAGCTTCCTCTAAAAGTATTTCTCCTATTTCACATAATTTGCTTCATTCCTCAACCTGGTAGATGTGGAAGGAAGTTGTATGTTGGGTAAGACTAGTAATCTCAGTAGGGCCGAGGCAGAATCTGAGTGCTAAGAGGTTGGGTCACCACAGAATCGGACAGTGAAACCATCTAGATATTTCCTGTTTCAAGTTGGGAATTGTTCTAAGAAATGGGATTAGAGCTAAATCTGTTTAAAAATCTAGTTACATTCTTTGTAGCCAATCTTCATGTCTGCTAGTTTCCAAATCCTAAGTGATGGGATAGATTTCAGAACAAGCAGAAATGAATACTGGCTGCAAAGAATGGAATTGGATTACAAAGAGTGAAAGAGCTGAAAAGGACTGAATTTAGGTTAGTAATAAACACCTTAGCAGTGTTTCATCCAGAAAGAGACTAATTATATGAAATTATTTCTTAAAAATACCAGCATAACAGTGAGCTGGCAGATTAAATGACTGTGGAAGTGGTAGGAGATTTTAGGCAGAAGACAAGCTACTGTAGTTCTCATACTGTGTGATGAGGATAGAGGATAGGTTAGTACAATAACAGGGTAGATAACACACATTCCACCAGTTGTCATCAGCGTCAAAGCCTGAACCATGACTGTCTGTGCACTGCTAATGCCTAACGTCTCCCTGGCACATAATATGTAGAAGGTTTTCTTCTATTTGGTTAGAGTGGCTTAGATACACAGTTTCTGCGGGTTTCCAAGTTGAATGCTGAGTCTCATGAATCTACGTGTTCTAGGATTTCCACTAAAACTTTGTTTATTAATTAGAATCAAGTTGACTGTCCTCCTGTAAGGGTGGTCATTTGACAAGATATCTGCCACCTTAAAGAATTTATATATAGTAAAATAACTTCACCTGTCAGTTTAAAAAATTCTTCCTGGATGTGATATATTTTCAAGCATTTTTCTCTATGTACTTTGTGAATGAAGCTTAGATTGTCTTTATTTGCCTTTATTTGATGTAGTTTATTGGATGAATTCACTTTCAAAAACTACTACTCATCAGTGTTTCGAGTTATATTTTTTTCTGCTTGTTCAGTTTGTTTCACTGCTGTTGATTTTGCTTAAAGCCATGATGTAACTTTTAAACAGCATTGCTAGCTATCTAAAGTCACTCTCTGTATTCAAAGTGCCCCTTAAAAGCTCTTTCTTTTTGTCTTCCCACAAAAGATTCTTAGCTTTCCAAACTTTTTCTCCCTAAATGTAATCACATAAAAACACCAATAGGATTTTTTTTTTCTTCTCATCCAGAATGTAATTGAGTGATCAATCCCTAATACAAAGTGCTTTCACTGCAAAGGGCATTTCTGTTATTTTATACAGGCCTAGTCAATTTGAAGAAAAACTTGGTAAATTATTTCACATCTGTTAATGAGGAAATTCTGAGATCAAAACAAAAGACACATGAATTATCCAAATCTTCGTTTTTGTTGCTGTTGTTTGTTTGTTTGTTTTTGAGACGGAGTTTCGCTCTGTCACCCAGGCTGGAGTGCAGTGGCGCGATCTCAGCTCACTGCAAGCTCCGCCTCCCGGGTTCACGCCATTCTCCTGCCTCAGCCTCCTGAGTAGCTGGGACTACAGGCGCCCACCACCAAGCCCGGCTACTTTTATTATTACTACTTTTTTTTTTTTTGTATTTTTTGTAGAGACGGGGTTTCCCCGTGTTAGCCAGGATAGTCTCAATCTCCTGACCTCATGATCCGCCCGCCTCGGCCTCCCAAAGTGCTGGGATTACAGGTGTAAGCCATCGCGCCCGGCCCCAAATCTTAGTTTTTTGGGTTTTTTTTTTTTTTAAACCACTGTGTTCCTTGATAAAAACGTAACTTGCTACAAAACAACAAAATTAGGGTTTGGGACAACATGTCATAATCGCTATTGTATTACAATAAAACCGTCAATTATAACATCTTATAAGAGTAATAAACAGTATTTTCATTTAACTCCTGCCAGAAAGCTGTTTATTTCCTGACCAGCACATGGTCCCTCCCTATGTGAGGTTGTGCTACAGATAGAGATGGAGGAAGTTTTCTGAAAGTCTGACATTGCCATAATCAAAATAATGAATGTACTTATTGGCATCTGCTGCATTTCCTAACTGGTGAAAGCTTTTGGCTATAAATACATTTACAGAAAAAAGTGGAGACTCCATATAAAAGCATGAATAAAATTCTGCTGGCCCCAAACTATATTTTTAACAGGACAATTTGAGCCAAAGTATGTTATTTTCCAGCAACTGATGCTAACGGAAGGAAAATGTTGTTTAAATGCTTAGCAGATGTTTAGTGATTTTATCATCATCATTACCCACAAGCTATGCTAAATTATGCAAATCTGTTTGGAAATTTAAGGCTTATATGTACTTATTATACTTTATAACTATTTCTCACCACTTGGTAATAACCTCTTTAGGATAAGAGCTAGGTGTTTATTTTTTATTAATAATAATACTTTGGTGTGGAGGTTACTTTATTTTCCTTCTTTGCATATCTTCCATAGCTACATTATAATAACAAATAAAAGTGAAAAGCGGGAAGCTTGACAGTGGTATTTGTCCTATATTTCTACCTATTCCAGTTAAGAAGATAGTAACTCCATGTTTGTCTAGAGTCAAGATTGCCAGAGCTGTATCTTATGCATTCCAGCTGTGTGCCAGACACTTCCTATGGAGGTTCACTAAGGAAATCAAACTCCTCATTCTCACTCATTCACCTAAACTAGACAGAAGGGTGACAGTGAGTCCTCCCCATGTCCACTCTTACTGAAGCTAGTGACCAGGTCTCAGTGTTCTAGATCAAAGTCTCTTCACTGACCTCTTTCTGCTATCTTGAGCTACTGCATCTGACCCCAAGAAGACCTGTTGCCTTGGTTCTCCAGCTTTCCTCCTTATAAATAACTTCCACAAACTTAGTCAGAATCTAGGGATATTAATCACGTTATTAGCATGCTTCAGTTCCTCTCTTGTCCAAACATCTTGGCATGAAATATGCGAGTCTCTACAGACTGGCTAGTTTCAACTCTTGCCTCTGCTGCTTCCTAGCTCTGTGACAAGAACAAAGCACTTTCTGTGTACCTCAGGATGATCACAATGGGATATAGCTCAAAGGTGTGTGGGTTTGTGTCTATGTGTTCATTGAATAAGTTAGTGTGTATAAAATGATTACAACAGTGCCTGGCACATATAGGCATCATACATAGTCCCTGATCTTACTATTGTTTCATCTTGACCAAGTGTCCTCACTGTCATCTTAAAAAATTTACCTTTTCCTGGCCAGGTGCGGTGGCTCATGCCTGTAATCCCAGCACTTTGGGAGGCCGAGGCGGGCGGATCATGAGGTCAGGAGATCGAGACCATCCTGGCTAACATGGTAAAACCCCGTCTCTACTAAAAAAAATATAAAAAAATTAGCTGGGCGTGGTGGCGGGCGCCTGTAGTCCCAGCTACTTGGGAGGCTGAGGCAGAAGAATGGCATGAACCTGGGAGGCAGAGCTTGCATTGAGCTGAGATCACACCACTGCACTCCAGCCTGGGCGACAAGCGAGACTCCGTCTCAAAAAAAAAAAAAAAATTTACCTTTTCCCACCCCTACCCTATGTTCTATACATCCATGTATGCATACACATGCACATATACCTACATACATGTGCACGCACACACACACACACACACACACACACACACACACTATGCTTTAGTCATACCAAACTAACTGAATGTTTAGGGAAATTTCACCACAGTTTCATGCCCCAATCCTTTCATTTGCCATCCTCTCTACCAGGAATTCCATCTTTTTAACATATCTGACCATTGATTTTCTCTTAAGTGTTCAAATTTTGCTCAAGCAATTATTCTCCAAATTTATTTGCTCTCTTGCCATTTTCCAGCCTCCTTCCATCATTGGGCTACAGGACATTACTATGTTCTTGATAGCAGTTTACAGAAATGTACAAAGTATCCTTTCTCTTGTCAGCCTGTGGATATCTGGAGGGCAGTGGCTTGTGTTTCACCTGTATTGTATCCCCAGAGGTGTCTGCACATAGTAGCAGCTCAGATGTTTCTTGCTAGAATGAATGACTTAGTAATTACCACTTCTAGGTAACATAAGCATTTTTAAAAAATGGGTATTTCAAAGGGAAATCAAAAACCAGAGTCTTGAATCTAAGTTCTATTTCCACCTTCTTGACATGCTGTAACAAACCTTCTTCCTTCCTTTTCTCTTTTGTCCTCCCTCCTTCCTTTCACAAACACTTGTGAATTAGTGATGTGCTGCTACCATGCTAGGCACTGAGGATACATAAATGATAGGAACCTCATTGTCTTTTCCTTGAATGCAATGAAAATTTAATTTTCCAATCCTTTGTATTGACTTAAGAAAAATACTTGTTCACCTAGCAAAATATAGTTTGTCTTTAATATGTTAAGAAGTAAACAGTCCTGAATAGACATTACATTTTCTGAATTCTAATGAAATTTGCCATTATAAAATAAATTTATGTTAGAAGTGCTCTCACAACAGAATTCTCTATTAGGTTTTTTAGTCATTCAGTAATCTGCTATATAATGAGTACTTCCAGTGAATTTTATTTGATATTTTACCTAGGATTTTACCCAGAAAATATCGGACTCTTTATCTGATTGATTATAAATATTGGGAAAATAAATATATCAGGCTAATCTTCAGGTCTACAGCTTCAGATTCCAGGTCTGGAGGGTTATCAATAATTTGAATATCTCCAGATTGGTTTAAGACAAGGATCTGAAGCAGTGGATATGTATATCCTTCTGTATAAATTCAGTATATCCTTCAGTATCTATTGTTGCAATATATATTGTTTAAATATAAGTATATTTAAAAGTATATTTAAACGTATATTTATACGTATATCCTTCTGTATAAATTCAGTATATCCTTCAGTATATATTGTTGCAGTATATATTGTTGCATATATAGCCTTCAGTATAAATTGTTGCAGTTATTGAATCATGTGTGAGCATTATTGGGAAGGACACAAAGGGAGGATATTGTGAGGATGTGGGAAAGAAAAAAGTTACAAAAGTGACAATATCCTAAAGTTGTTCATGGTTGTGGGAAGAGGACCTGCAGGGTCCATTCAGAAATGGAGTGATTCAACTCATGCAGATTCATTCTCACACGGATTAAGGACCAACCTGTGGTATAATGCAAGTGAAGACGACTCTGGACTCTGGAAGTACTTCTCAGTGATGATAGGCACAAACATTATCTAATAACAATGTATAATCAAACTTTGGGCATAGGCCTCAGACTGGGTGGGATGAAATATTTGAAGGGTCAGGAGGAAGGTGAACAGAAAGCAGTGCAACAAAATTTTATCTCTTGTTCTCTTTTCAGTTCCAAAGTGTTTCTATTCTAGGTCTGCAAGAAGATGGATCTACTAGGTTTCCAATAATTCCAAATCCCAGGCAAAATCTTCTCAAATGCTTATAACTAATTTTTTTCATTCATAACGTTTTAAAAGTTTTTGTGTAACAGAATTATATTAGTATTAATCAGATATTATATATTTTATACTGTATCAATATTTTATTAACCACATTTATTACATAACAATCACACTATTAGTTCAAATGTGAAAATGTTCTAGTGTATAATCCAATTCATTAAGTTTTACTATATATTTATTATCTCTATAGGACAAACTATAATACCAGGTGCTTTCTATACTAGTACAATTTTAATCTCTTTTTCACAAGAACAAACAAAGCCTGAACAGTTAAGAAGTTGCTGTGGCTGACTTGAACCTGGTCTACCCAAATCTGAGCTTGTGTCCTTCCTGCAACTATCATACTGTAAATGATGATATAGGTGGCAAATACAGACAATTTTAAGATAATTTTGCATACATTGATATTAGACCTAGCTGGAAAATTTCATTGAAAACTAGTGATTTTTTTTTTTAGCATGCATTCCCCAATACTTCAAGATTTTCATGAAGGGCAAACATCTTATACAAGCATTCCTTGACGCCAAAGTCACAAAATATATCACATTATATGAAATTTTGTCCTGACAAATTTGTCAGCTCCTACAAAATTATAAAATATATCAACGGTAATTAAGACATCATTTGAAAAGGCAAAAGTCAGAATGGTATGATGTATTGGGATTGGCTCACTGACAGCAAGCTTTGGGGATTAGGAGAACTGGATTTAGTGTCAGCTCGATCAGTAATTAGGTGTCATCACCTGTGGCAACTCAGTTTGCCTCTCCTGGGCTTTTGTTTCTTCATCTGTAAAATTAAGGGGCTGTACTAGATGTTCTCTAAGGGCCTCTTCCACCTCTAAAATTCTATGAGCCATAATCTTTAGAGTTGTGTTCTTATAACTTCTATTATAAAAATAATAATGTCAGTCTACAAATCTGACACTACCAGCCAGAATTCAAAAGTATAATCACAGATGCTGCCATCAGCTCTGACATTATTGGTCACAGTATGTTAAAACATTCTTTGGAAAGCTCCTTGAAGTAATTCAAGTGTAAAAAAAATCACATAAATCATGCAAAGGTATTGCTCCAGACCCATCTCATTTACCTGAGACTTTTGAAAATTAACACAACCAATCCTAGAAAAAGTTGTGAAGATTGTTCTTTCCAAGCCTCAGCCTCCTGTCTTCTTGGTGCCCTGAAGGTGCTAGTGCTGTTCGTCTATTTATATTATCTTCCATTTTTATGAAGATGGAAAAGTTTACAATAATTAGCCATTTGGGTTTATCTACTAATTATTTGTTAGATAAATGGAAACTTAGTTATAGTGAAGTGTTACCTCAGCCCACACATTTGCATTTTATGCTTTTTACAAACAGCATTATAAAGATTTTTATGTTATTAATCGTAACTTTAAAGGGTAATATTCTGGAGGGGAATCATTTGCAGAGATGAAGGCATGTGTATTCATTAGCTTACTGATATGGTTTGGCTATGTCTCCACTCAAATCTCATCTCAAATTGTAATCCCCATAATCTCCACGTGTGGAGGGAGGGACCTGGTGGGAGGTGATTTATGATCATGCTGTTCTCATGATAGTGAGTGACTTCTCGTGAGATCTGATGGTCTTATAAATGGCAATTTCCCCTGAACTTTTCTGTCTTTCCTGTCACCCTGCGAAGAAGGTCCTGGCGTCTCTTTTGCCTTCTGCCATGATTGTTAAGTTTCCTGAGGCCTCCCCAACCATGTGGACCTGTGAGTCCATTAAATCTCTTTCCTCTATAAATTATATAGTCTCAGATAGTGTCTTTATAATGCGTGAAAATGGACTAATACACTTACATCTCCAGATTACAAGAAGGGCAGGGGTGGAGCTGCCCTTCCAGAGAGATCCAGTTCCATCAGGGCTCTTTCTTCTTATTACTTATGTCTTACACCCTGTGGATATCTGACTCATTCTCCCAAAGCTTTGCCATTCCGTGTGTTAGCTACTAGCCATGTGTGGCTATTTAAATTTAAATTAATTAAAATTAAATAAAAGTTCATTAGTTGAATTAGCCACATTTGAAGTGTTAGACTACCTTCTCCAAAAGTGGAGGACTTGGTTGTCAGCAAGTAGTACTCATGTCCTTACAGATTTCTCACCACAGGGGAAAAAAAAGAAATATATATATTTTTATTTTTTCGTTTATTTATTTTAACCTTGATGGCAATTTTTTTTGTTTGTTTGTTTTTGTTTTTGTTTTTGTTTTTGAGACAGAGTCTCACTCTGTCACCCAGGCTGGAGTGCAGTGGCGCGATCTCAGCTCACTGCAAGCTCCGCCTCTCAGGTTCACGCCATTCTCCTGCCTCAGCCTCCCGAGTAGCTGGGACTACGGGCGCCCGCCACCACGCCCGGCTAATTTTTTGTATTTTTAGTAGAGACGGGGTTTCACCGTGTTAGCCAGGATGGTCTCCATCTCCTGACCTCGTGATCTGCCCGCCTCGGCCTCCCAAAGTGCTGGGATTACAGGCGTGAGCCACCGCGCCCGGCCGATGGCAATGTTTTAATAAAAGTTCTTGGTAAGGATTCTTACTGGCTGGACTGGGTCTTGTGCACAACGTTTGAACTCTCACGTGGTTTGGGGATCAGGATGAGGGCAGTGGCTGCTTCCATTCAGATTCTATGACTAAAAACAGAGGTGGGAGGATAGCACACCTGGGAAGGTGTGCCTGTATAATTTGCCTTTGGTCCATACATTGATCTTTTTAAAAAACATGTATTTTAAGTTCAGGGATATACGTGCAGGTGTGTTACATAGGTAAACCTGTATTATAGAGGTTTATTTACAGATTATGTCATCACCCATATATTAAGCCTAGTATCCATAAGTTAAGAGGGGAACAACATTACATTGATCTTAAGTGTTACCACCGAATATGTTTTGACAAATGCATATACTCTTACAATCTATATATAACTATGTGCTGGTTAAGATAGGAGGCTTCAATTACCCTGGAAAGTTCTCTCATGCTCCCTCCAGGTCAGTCTCAATCCCCCCACCCAGAGGCAACCACCACTGTGATATTTTCCATCCTAGATTAATTTTGTCTATATATTTCTTTCACATGGGCACATATTATTTCATAACACAGTAGAGTTTTTTAAAGCATACTTTCGTGTAGAGAAACTAGGGTTTGATTCCTGACTCTTACCTTAAATGGTTATTTAATTTCCCTGCGCCTCAGGTTTCTTCTAAGTATTAATACGTGTGGATAATAATAAGTGACCCATTGGGTACTATGTTTATTACCTAGGTGATGAAATGATCTGTATACCAAACCCCTGTGACATGCAACTTACCTGTATAACAAACCTGCATGTGTACCCCGATCCTGAAATAAAAGTTAAGAAAAGAGCAACTATTTCACAGGATTGTCATAAAGAGTATGTGATGCAATGAACGTAAACAGTGAGTCATAAGTCAATGTAATGTTTGAAACAGTACATATGTTCAGCAAATGCTAGCTTTTATTTTTATATAATCACAAAAGCGTTAAGGTTCTTATTCTATAACTAACATTTAAACTCTCTCTTATCTATAGCAGTGTGTAAGAGTTTAACTTTTGTATTCTCTGATCCAATGTGAAGAGGAACAATGGGTCAAGTGTTCCCATACTTTCAAATAAAAGATCAGGGGTCATGGAAGGAAAGTTAAAAATGAAAGTTCCTAAAAATCAAATTAAAATGTAGCACTGATGATATTCACGTTCTTTTGATGAAATGTTTGAGCAATATCAAAACTGTGGAAGCGCATAACCCGGTTTTATGAGCCTTAGAAGAACTTTACAACAGCCACTCCTGAAGTTTTATTCTGCCAGTTTTATGGATGACTCATCACCGACCAAATTTTCAATGAAACAGGTGATGATATAAACCAACCTCCTATAAAACAACTCTAGTACAAATCCCATTTTTACATAATGCACTTTAATAGAACTGCTATTTTATGGAATGACAGTCACTGGTTAGCTTGTGATTTCATGTGTTTTCTCCAGAGTGCGAGGCAGTTTCTTGCTTTGTACTCTGCTTTGAGCAAAAGGAAAACAGATTTTCTAGAGAATCAATAAGCATGGGATTACGTAAAAGAGGAGCAGGAGAAGAGTGAGTCTGCCAGGTTAGAGCCTGGCTTGGCTTCCAGGTCGGTCAGGGATTAGCCCTGTGGGAGAAACAGATGAATTCTGCTGATCGGCAGTTGCTTCTGAAACATTGGCTTCGGGGAGTGCAAAGAAAAAGGAACAGGGTGTGCTGAGGCAGGATTTTGAAGTAACTCTTTAACTGCAGCACCAACAAGGGTTCCATCAAATATAAAACCACTTTTTAAAACCCTCTCTAGTCATTATAAGAAAAGTCTTAGAATATATCTGTTTTTTAAAATATTAAGGAAGATGTGAAAAATGGTTGTCATTCTGGCAGACGCTGATTGTTCTCCACTCATATCTCCCACCTTGATCACCTCATCAACCACTGCCTAACTTCCAAGAGAAAGCCAACCCCTGGCTTCTTGGCTTCTTTTCCTGAGGGTGCTCTCCTGTCCCTGAAGACTCATTTGCCACCTTCATGACAGCCTGCAAGAGCCAGGAAATGAACCATCATGGAGCAGTCCTCATCAAAAACATCTAATGACCAATGGCATTGACATATGGACACTCATCTACATTCCCTTCCCGTGGCAGCTAGCTTAGAGGCACCTGTTTTGACTTTAGCAACTGGCCTCCCTTCCCTGTCTCATTTCCCCATAACCCCATGTATTTCTTTCAATTCACAAATAAACCACTTGTATGAATCTTCATCTAAGAATCTGCTTTAAGAAGAACTCAACCTAAGGCAGGCATTACCCAAATGGGAAGGTAAAATATTATTTATCAAAGCAAATGCGATATCAGCCGACGGCAGAGAACAGCTCACACAAACCCCTCTGGCCTTCCTTGTCTGAATTCAATAAGTTCAACAAATATTTATAAAGTGAGGCCTAGATATAACACATTTCCCCCAGTTATTTAACAAGAGTAGAAATGTGTAATAAGGTACTTCATTCCATACAGGAAGTTTAACAAATTTTACAAAGTTCTTTCCAAAGGCAAGTAAAAAAATATATATATATTATTCATATAAGATAATATAGATATAAAAATATATATGGTTTTTCATAAGGCGAACCCTCTTTCTTGGAATGGCATTTCTGATCAATTCCATAAAATGGCAATTTTGTCAGAATCACTTATCTAGTGATGAGGTTCAATCACATAACGATTTTTAGCTTATGATGGTTTCGAATTTCCTTGAGCTAACCCTGATAAGGTGGATGGGTTAATTATATTTTTGAAGGAATTTGAAGACAGTAAGATGTGTATGCAGTTCAATATATCCTTCTTATAAGAAATGATGTTTACCTTTAGTAGATTTATGATTGTACATTTGTTAAGATAGTAACTTTAAGGAAAGGACATTTTTTAACGCAAGTATTATTTTGTATGAGTAGCTTCCAAATCAGTTGGCCATTGGATTATTTGAGAGTTATGTATTAGTTTCACATCAGTTTCCTCTTACTGTCAAAATTTTAAAATGTAGTTCAGGTTTACAAACCAGAAGATTTTATGCATTTATAGCTAAAAATTTCCTTTCCATGTACGTAATATTTATGTATCTGTGACATGAGTCATTTGATTTGATGTCTGCTTAACTGAAATGTGATGAGTTGACATTATCAAACGGAGCAGATTTTCTGAAACTTTAAGCCAAATGTTCCAGGGTATGTTCGGAAGGATTGGCAAAGCAGGGGGCCGAGGGAGGTAAGGGGACAGTGCATAAAAGCAGCAGATGCTGTCACATAGGGTTAGTCCAATATTATCATTAAAATCCATTTGAGTAAAGCAGATAAGTCAATTATCTTATATGAATATTTAATTATATTATTTCTACTAATGTTATTTTTCTGGGGTTATTGTTGCAATGCAATATAGCCTGTTTCTTAAAGGAATAACTCTGAACTTTACAACAATCCAAGGAAATTAAAGCCTTTTTGAAAAATAAACCATTATAGATTGAAGATTATGAAAGCTGAGCAATACATTTAATGACTCATTGTAAAATTTAGGATCAACAGAATCTTTTAAATAACAGTGTTGATCCTCAGTGTATTTTATTTCACAATTTGAATATTATTCTGTACTGCTAAGTCATATTTCATATTCATTAATAAAATAAATATTTATTGAGTGTCTTCAGTGTGCCATGCACCATCCTAGTGTCTGGGGTTGAAAGGCAAACAAGGTGAACGTGGATTTTCCCTTCTGGAAATAACAAAGCCAGGTATGTAAATGTAAACAATGTTGAATGGTAAATACAATGACAGTCACTGTATCAAGTGAGTATTTTGACTCCTGAACTGTATAGAACCCTACACTGAATGACTTTCATAATGACAACAGTTTATATTTAAGCACATACTTTGCAAAAAAAGAGCATTTACATGATCTTATTTAGTCCTTATCACATCCTTAGGGATTTTGTATAAAAGTAGATCTGGGTATTGTGGGGTCTGAGTTTTAAAGAATATGAGAGTCCTTCTTTAAGAAAATGAATGCATTAATGTCTTATTCAAAAATTTTACAACAACATATAGCAATGCACATATATTGTGTAGGCACTTGCAAATGTAGCCTTGAGGTGTAATCTTTGTTGACTTCACAATGAAGCCTCTTCCTAGCACTATTGTTTTACCAGCTTTTCAGATGAGGAAACCGAAGCCTAAAGAGTCAA
The DNA here is from genome assembly GCF_000001405.40 of Homo sapiens. Classification (NCBI taxonomy): domain Eukaryota; kingdom Metazoa; phylum Chordata; class Mammalia; order Primates; family Hominidae; genus Homo; species Homo sapiens. The sequence goes on along the minus strand of NC_000007.14, from coordinate 146,213,959 downwards.
TGCAAATTTAAAAAGGAAATTTAATCTATATGAAAAATCAATATAGAGTGTAGGCTGTTAGGCAGAAAAATTAATGCCATGGATTTCAGTAACCGAATCCTCTGAATTCCATGGAAAAACAATGATGGCATCTTATTTACCAAATTTAGTTTATTCAGACATTGGTTGACAGGTGGCATTAAGCTATTTCTACAGACGGAAACACAAAGATTATGAGGTACTCATCCTTATTGCTAATATTTATATCTGAATTAGAGAACATGGCTTGGGAACTGGGATATTTGAATCTAGTTCCCATTGGGTTACTTAAAATCTTTTAACTCACAACTTTCTGATGAAAAGTGTTCTACTAACCAGAGTAGTCATTCTAGTCATATTATTTAATTTCCAGCATTAGGGTTTGAATAAATTACTTCTTGAGTTGCCCAACATACAACAATCTCACATATTCTGTTAAAGTAGTTAAAAGGAATCTGACATTTGATTGATTTTCAGTGTCGTCATGTAAATAAATGACAAATACTACTGTCACTGAGTTAAGTAAAGTAGGTTTTACAATTTCATCTATTTAGTTTTCAACACTAATGTTTCCATGATATTTAACTCAGCTGCAGAAGACCAAAGGTTGATCAATAGCCAAGGCTTCCACTCAGAAAAGTGCACTGAGATTTATGGCTACCATAGAAGCATAATTTAAAAATATAAAGAAAGCTTCTTTTAAATTTTGAGGTTTGCCAACAGAATTGGACATGTATTGAAATTTCACTTTTTAAAAATTATACCTTTATATGCACATAAACAACTCTGCTGAAATGAAATTAATCTGGAAATGGCAACTTAGATTTATAGAAGCAAGTACGTTAAAAATTAATCAACTACTCCCCAGTCGTTGATAAAATTCAGTGTTTTCCAAGGACACTTCTACAGTAGCCGTCCAATGGCATAAGGGGCTACACTGTTGAGAGCACTTTAGACTTTCAGACTGAATCAATGAGGAACACTGTTAAGCACAAGACAGCCCTGGCAATCACAGCATCTCATGTTCAGGTTAACTCCAGTAAGGGGGAGATATTAGCAGGCATCATCAAATAATCAATTTTAGTCACCTGGAAGAACACAATGTACTGAACAGAAACCAAGCATCACCTATGAAGAGCATTTTGTTTGTGTCTATAAGGGCCCCATGCCCTAGACATGCTGGAGTGATCAGTATTTTCTAACTGTATTTCATTCTACTTCATGACCATTCTATGTACCTTTTCATCACCCTGATGAAGTTGAAATCTTCTCATCATTCAAACTTAAACTCATATTTAGTTGTTCCATACTGGCAAAATTAGATGTCTTAATTGCTATAATAAAATGTAATTACTCATAAAATAACCTGATAATATTATGGCAAAATACTCTGGTCAATTTGGAATTTCATTGGTGCTCTTTCAACAGGATTCATGACTTTGGGAATCTAATGCTCAAAATCATTATACGTCCAGATGATTAAAGGTAGGGTACATACCTGGGCTGAATGTTCTGTGCCTGTTAGATAACTCACCATCTTAAAACAGGGACACACCAGACTCCCAATTAGGTCAATCTAGCAAGGGTTCTGTTGTTTTTAGCATCCCCTGGACCATTGGTGAATGCTACGTCTTCCATCCACATTTATTTAGTAAGTCAAATAGTTCACAGAATCATAGTAGGGGCTTCAAAATAATGTACTTCAGGCCAAACCACCTCACTTTAAATTAGAAAACTGACCCCCAGTGATTAATTGTTTCACACACTATTAGTTGAATACACTCTGCGATCTGGATGTATTTTTAAGAAGCTCTGTATATTAAACTATATATCCTGGATTTTCAAAAATATTATTTTGCTTTTAGAAAACACTTCTTATCAGAATCTTAATATCTTTGAATGAGCATTACAGCATGACAAAATATAAAATTTCAGTATATGAATCCGATAAGATTTTAGCAGTTTCTACAGACCAGAAAAGCTGTATCTATCTATGGATGAATTATTATTATTCATAGTCATTCTGTGATAAGAAATTTTAATATACTTAATTAATAAACTTAAAAAATATAGAATTTGTCTTTATATACTCTACAGAAAATTCTTTCCTTAATAGCATTACTGTAATTTTAGAATATTTACTGATAATACTGTTAATGTTGAATAAATAATATATAAATTCTAGGTCTGCTGTCTCTAGTTTATAGTATTTCCTCATGTTTGACTCACTAATTCTGAAGTGGCCAAGCTATTCCAATATACCTATTCACATTTCTGCTAGTTTGTGGTCAAGAACCTATATGGAACTCTAATATTTTAGGGTAATATCTCTTTAAAAATTCTGTAAAAATTATTACAAACCCATCAGGACAGGATCCAAAGCACAAAACTGTTACTAAAATTTGGACTAAGGAAAACAAAAATACATCTAAGTGGGCCCATTATAAAGCAAAAAGGAAAATATTAAAAATACAGCATTAAAAGAATAATGTCACCTTCACAAAAAAGTGAGCACTTACTTATTTTTGCTTGGTAATGGTAATTGATTTTACATCAAGGTAATGATTAAGAATTCATATTTGAAAGGTAGACTTTTCTTTCAAGATTTCGACTTTAGCTACAAAATTACACCTCTTTCGAAATTGCCGGAGGAAAATTATCATCATCCTAACTTAAAACTATATTTTTTTCAGATGTCTGAAATGAAGGTCAACTTTATGCACAGTAACTGATTTCCTAATCTTTAAGCAACTTACATAAAGTGCACGGATGCAGCTTTTGGAATGAAATTAATGCATTTTTATTTTGCATCGTTTGGTGCAAAGGGCCCTAGAGTTGTTTGCTGGTTAAATGTGTTTATGTTTGCAAGGCCTCTATCTAAGTCAACACATAAAAATTTGCTTTCATTCTTCTTTCTTTTCTCCAAAATCAACATTCAATTTCACTTTCCTTTCAGGTGTTATGTTCCACTATTGAGGCAAAATCTTATCTCAGGGTAGTTGATTGGTTCTTAATTATTTAGGCCTCTTACCTTAAAACAAAAGTGTGTGGAAATGAGATGACCGTCCAGGGTTAGACACATGTGACCACGAAAAAAAAAAAAATGAAGTAGTCTTGTCTGTCTTACCCGACAACCCATTCACAGTGCAACAGAGAACTTGGCCCCCTTGCCATTAGACCAAAGTACTCTGGTAAATATTAGAATTCCGTCAGTCTTGCAATGGTTAGTGGGGATAATAGCTATATTTTTCTGATAAGAGATTTATAGGATTACTTGATTTATGATATAGGTATAGCCTGGTAACCGGTGGTGGAAAACTATATTAACAGTATACTCAGGCCAGGCACAACGGCTCACACCTGTAATTCCAGCACTTCGGGAGGCTAAGGCAGGCAGATCCCTTGAGGCCAGGGGTTTGAAACCAGCCTGGTCCATATTGTGAAACCCCGTATCTACTAAAAATACAAAAATTAGTTGGGCATGGTGGTGCATGCCTGTAGTCCCAGCTGCTCAGGAAGCTGAGGCAGGAGAATCACTTGAACCCGGGAGGCGGAGAAAAATTAAAATACACCATTTTAGTATCTCTTCTCTTCCAAGTCATCTTATGTATTAAGTGCTTTTGTGTACTACATCACTCAAGTCCCACACAGTCTTAATAGGAAGACAATCATCTTCACTTCACATATGGTAGCACTGAGGTTTAAAGAGTTTAGGTAACCAAACAAAGGCTGCAGAATGAGCAAATTTCAGGGCACCTTTTGAATTCAGATATAGTAACTCCAGAGTGCATATATTCATCATAATCTAGCAATGCCTTTTTGTCCAGAGTTACTCAAAATGTCTATTAAAAACATGAAAAGTTTGGGTATTTCAAAACACTAACAGATTTAATCTGGGGGAGAAGGGAGGAGGTGGGAATGGTATATTTGAGACAGAACCTTCAGGCATCTAGGGGAGCACACAGCAGCCAGGCCCTGTACAGTAAGTTTTCTTCTTGTTGAAATGCTCAACCTGTTGTCCAAGATGCTTTATTCTTCACCTCGACAACTCACGCAACGCATCCAAATTCTGTATTTTCTGGACTATTCTGTCCATATATTTATGTTTACAATATGCCTTCATTAATGATTTTATTCATTAAAAGAAAGCTGTTCTATAGATGGAAGTTTTACTAAAATCAGTTTGAATTAATTGATTGATTACATAATTATATTTTGGATAAATTTCCCTTTATTTCAAACATTTCCTTTATTTTAAGTACTAGCACAAAAATCCTAGATACTATACTTTTACATTTGACTTTTGTAAAAAATGTCTAATTTATTCTGTCTGCAGCAATAAAGCCAGATCATCTATAAGCATTCTTCTTTAAGGTATAAATATTAGTCTTGTGAACTCAAAATTTCATGAAATCTAAAGAATATTTCAGTGGCATCTATAAAAGTGCAGCCTTAAAATCACAAAGCTGGGTGAGGCCTCAACTGGCCTTGACACTTTAGGACTCTTATGCTTCAGGCAATGGACTAGTTGAGTTCAAAATGATAGCTGATGTTGCATAAGAACAGGATGATTCAGGAGGCTAAAGTTAAGAGATCCAAGGTGAAGGAAGTTTTGCATGCAGTGCCCATAAGAGACCCAGAGAATCCTGTGGCTAGGGAGACAGCCTACTCGTAGGGTTGTAAGTGAGGTAGCCTACCTGTCTCTCAAACCGGTTCTGACTGTGACTTCTTGAGGGCCAATGGAAGGCTGAAGTCTTTTCTACTTGGATTTTAAGATTAGCTCTGCACCTCATATGGCTCATTTCCAGGTATTTAAATGGCGACAGCATCACCTACAGAAAGAGGCATCAAAGGAGCTCAAGTTTTAGGGGTTTACAATGAAGCCCCTAATTCCTCACTTTGGAGCTGTTATATCCACACAGCATAAAAGGCTCAAAGGTGGCTAATGCCTGCCTACATTATATAGGTTACTTTTTTTTTTATTACTCTGTGATGTCTTTAGAAACTCAGACTGGGAAACACCAAAAATCTTAGCAGTTATTTTTATCTTGGATGTGTCATGAAGATGTGGACTAGATTGAGGCCCATCTCAAGAACTGACCTATAATAACAAACCTGAAGTTTGAAATTCCTGTATATTAAGAAATGAAACCCACAGCAGCAAGGGCAATGACAAGCTGCGACCATAATGGCTGTGTCCCAACTCTGTCCTGGTGTTTCATGTTCCAGGAGTGAATAAATAATTTAATCTTCATGAGCCATCAATTCTAGTCCTCCTTCAAAAGTCTGGCAATGGGCCCAGCTAATTTCATTTATGATGTGGACTTTTTTTTTTTTCAGACTATGAGTTTTCAGAAAGTGAAAAAGGGCAACCATTATCTCATTATATGAGTGTGGTTCTGTGCTTTTTTTTTCCTTCCAGTAATACTTTATTGATTTATTAATCAGCAAGAAATCAAAGGGTAAGGACATGCCATTTCCTCATTAATTAGTCATTGGAACAAGCAACACTAATCAGTCTTATTTCAACTATAAATAATTAGTCTTTTAAAAGAAATTTTTCTTGACAGAAGAGAGTGAAATATAGAAATTCTGTTACACTTAGTAATTTTTTTTTTCACAGGATGAAAACTTACATATTGAGTATTAAGTTAAAGATTTAAACCTTGGGAAATAGATAATTCAGGAAATAACTTTTAATGCCTAGCAGTTTTTATTCATAAATTAAAAGAGTTGCTTTGTCATCAGCTAACATTTATTTATATACCCAAACACCACCACTCCCTCCTTCAAAGTAAATAAATAAGTAAATAAGTCTGCTAAAGTCATATATAGTATGAATAAGAACATACTTTAGGAACTAAAAAAATTAAGTCCTACTTATGTATTTACTGAATTGTGGTAACTGTTTCTACATTACAACAGCTTTTTGTTTCTATTTCATTTCTTAATGGTATCTCTAGGATATAAAATAATCTGGCAGGAAATATACTAAAATTTTGGGCTTTATTTCTGCCTAAAGTTTAAAAAATATTTTTCTAACTCTCAAGTTCCTGTTACTTGTTCTCTTGTTTTAAGTTCCATCAGAGATTTTAAAGTAATTTAAACTATATAATGCAGACTTTCATCTAATCGCTATTATTAAAATATGTCTACATCTATTATTTAGAACAAAGGGAGAAACCAACAGCAGGTTCATTTATCCATCCTCCACTCTTTCGTTATTTGGAATGTTTTTGCTAATAACCATGCCTCAAAAAATGTTTGTTTCATGAATGAGTTAAAAAAAAAAAAAAAAAAAAAACACAGTCCTGTTCTGTTTGAAGAAAGTATTTTGTAACTAAAAAAAATTTCTGTTGTCTAACACATTGTTATGATTGATAAATGAAAAGAAGGAGATTGAAAGGATTCAACTAAAACTGATGGAAATCTAGTAGGAATGTAGTATGTTATTTGTATAATGTTATTTGAAGGAAGCTAGATAAAATTTATGGAAACCTACCATACACCAAGATATTATTTGTATGATGCTTATTTTAAACTCAGTACATCTTGAATGGAAAGCATTTTAATCCCCATTAAAGAAAACCAAGTCTCCAAGAGAGTAATTGATTTAGACAGGATATAAATGAATGTCTTTCTTATTTCAGTTCCCATTATTTTTCACGGTACCGCATGATACATTCTACTATGCTACTAGTGGTGGATTGGTCTAAAAACTTTAAGAGTCCAATTACACTTGTAGATATATGGGGTCACAATAAATTAGAATGAAAGCTGTGAATACCTTAAAAGGCTCCACTGGAAAAGGGAGGTAAGGTCTGATTTTTTTTAGATAGATTTTGTCAAAGGCACTTGGTCAAGCAGTAATCATACAGCTAGGTTTTGGGTGAATATTTGAGGCCAATGTTGTTTTTTGAGAGCTCTTACCTTGATATCATTACCAATGAATACTTGGTGTTAGCTAAGGACCCACATACTCTATCAATAAAAATTGCTGCAAAAATAGCATAAAAGAAACAAATCTAAATATGTATTTTGATTGTAGACTTAAAGGTACTATTAATTTGGTGATTTGAGAGAAATGTAAACATTTAAATGGAAATAAAATTCATGCCATTACCATACAGCATCATGTTGATGATTAATTTTTATCTGAAAGTGTTGTTGTTGAGGTCTGACATTAAAGAAACACCTGAACATGGACTGGTGAATTGCATTTTAATAAGTTGTGTATTTCATGTTTTTATGCATTTCATCATTTTAACCTTGCAGTACAAAATAATGTTGACCAGAAACACCTCTTTAAAGTACTGCTTATAAAAGAGAAATGGTGCATTATATTCTTGACACTTAAGGTCAAGTACTAAAGATGCATTGTATATTAATGTATCCAATATATCACACAAGAAATTAATGTCTATCCTCCCTTTTGGGTCTAGACTACTTTATAAACCTATTTTTACTTTCTTCAGTTTGATTAATAGTATCCCAGAAATACTGTGTCCTAACAGCATCCAAGACAGCTTTGATATTATCTATGACTCATGAATGAAAGAATTCTCATTATATTTGAAATGATACGTTTCAGAAATTGAAAATAATTTCACGTATATGTTTCATTAAGCACAACATAGTATGTTGTTTTCTTCTAGCAATTTATTCAAGGCCAATGATTAATTATTACAATTTCTCCTGAATTATTTAATGGATTTTCCCACTAAAAATTTTGCTGGAATGGTTCAACACACTCTTTCTTTAACAGCATACATTAGTTTTAACAGCTATGATTGACATTCACAATACAAACTTATGTTATAATTTTTGTCATCTGGGTCAGTGATTTTAGTCTGTGATATGTCCTTGAAAAACAGTATTGTGAATAATGTGTAAAATACGACAAAACAGAATTCTGCCTAAACGAAACACAAATAAAATGCTTAGAGGTCATTACCTTCTTTATTAATAGGCTCTGCATAGGAGCCTGCTTTTTCCTGGTTAATTTTGCTATGTTGGTAGCCTCATAGAGAATCATTACTGCTGTGCTCTCCCAGAGACAGAAAGAATAAAACTTCTGTCTATGACTCTGTATACAAAACTTAATCTTAAGGAACAAAAAACATATTCCTAAAACATATTTTCACTCATATTAAATATAAAATAGCAAGTCTCTTGAAACATTCAAGTTGCTATGTTAGACTTTTAATAATTACAATATATATCCTATGGCCGGATTCATTCAAATGTAAAATTTCACTTGTAATTTACTCCATAGGGAGAAAAGTATCTGGTCTGAGTGTGGGGAATTATTTATTTTTCCCTAGAAATCAGTACTTTTTTATTATATACTTTATTTCCAATATCTTAATTTTTCATATTATTTTTCTTAAGTGATTTTACTTTCAAAATTGCTATAGCACTACATTAAAGGTTCTGAAAATGAAAAAAGAAGTAATGGGGCACTATTAATAGTTCTTACTCTCCTAAATTTTGTCATACTTACACATTTTTAAAAAAAATCCACTGACTTATTTTAGTTTCCAATGTTCTACAGTTTCTAGAATAGTCTTTGACTCAGAATACATAAATATGTGTATCTGAAGTGGTTCTGCTCAGCAATTTAATAAATTGTGCAGTCTACAGAGAATATCATTAATTATGTAAAGACTGATGGGGATTCATTTACTTGGTTTCTTTCTGAACCACTTGACTTGTCTCTGTTTAATTAAACAATAATAAATGTGATGGTAGGGAGAAACTTATGCTGTCAGTGAACAATAATAAATGTGTTCTTGGAATAGAGAAAGGGATTCTAGATATCTTCATATTTAGACAGAAAATCACAGGAAGATAATTAAAACACTTGCTTACTTGCCTACAATTTACTGACATATATCTTCACTCATATTTCTTAAGTCTCCAGTTATGGAGGACACTGTGAAGGCAAATTACTGTCAATGCCTCAGTATATTTCCTTATTTTATCTCTTGGAGAGTTCGTTTTCTTTTAGGGAAGTATATTTTATACATTTTATGTAATGTTCCCATGTCTGGCTTCAATTTGAAAATATGGCACTCCTTACATTGCCTGTCCCATTGCATGGTAAAAATAGGAATATTAAAATATTAAAGACATTTTGCTGAAGGGTGGGGCCATTAGTTATATACAATAATCAGTTGTAAAAACACTGGGGGATGACAAAATTATGAGCTGATATTTTTAATATGAATTATAAATGTAGTTTAAATATCTAAGATGTTTTAACTCTATGGTTGAAACATTTGAAAAGTATTTACTATATGATCCACGACCACATTAAACCACCACCAACAAACGACTGGCATGAGAGAGACTCCATACAAAGATAATCTGTCAGTTTTCTGGGTTTTGGAATTTGGGCAATTTTCATAACCTTTCTACTGTTGTTTCTGTTTGTAAACTAGGCATGTAAATATCTACTTCAGAAGAGATATAATGTATATTTACTCATAATTGTGACATATGCAAAGCATCCATATCAGTGCATATCAGAGAATAGCTAATAAAAAAAGGTATACCTATTACAATTCCCATTATACTCTTTCCTCTGATTACAGGTTTTAAGAACAAGTTTCAGTGCTAGAAGTCAGCAGAAGCACAGAACATTTTGATCACTTAGAGACAGTATTAAAAGATCTATTAACTAATTAGTGGACTGATATTTAATTTCCAATTTAGAGTCTGTCATTTCTTTTCTTAAGATATTGTTGGCCCAATTAATCTTAGAATAGATAATTTAGATCTCTGAGATGTAAATAAAATAGTGCATAAAACAAAGTTTTACAAGAATTTTCCCCATGGATATATTTTATTTAGCTGAAAGGAAGTCCTTGAGTTGATAGCAAGTCAACATGAATATATTAAAACTAATGCTATGATGCCATCAATAATTTATTAAATAATTGAAAAGTCATATATGTAGTAAAGGTACAGTATATAATTTACGAATTAAAGGATTCCCCCCAAAAAATCACAACTATGCTTTCATAAGCAGGGTTGGTTATTTTCAATTTCAGAATTTGGTGTGTGATATTATATATATATTTGTTCTTCATCCCCAGTTTTTGGCATATGATTCCTAAAATCCTTGGAATCTTCAAAGTAATAAATTCTGTATGCTACTGAGTTGACTAGTAGACTGAGGGCTGGCAGTCCCTAGGTAGCTTCAGGATGGGGCTATTAACCAGAAAAACCAAGGCAGGATTAGAGGGTTGGGACTTTCTGCCCCAACCCACCCCCAGGAGAGGAGAAAGAGGATGAAGGTTAAGGTGATCAGCAATGGCCAGTGATTTAGTCAATCATGCCTTTGTAATGAAAACTCTGTAAGAACCCAAAAAGAAGTGTTCAAAGAGCTTCCGGATATTCGAACACTTGGGGGCTTCTGGAGGGTCCTGGAGAGGTCATGGAAGCTGTACACTGCCACACTCATCCCCTTCCCTGCCCATCTCTTCATCTGGTGTTCACCAATATCCATTGTAACTTCCTTTGTGATAAACAAGTAAGCATGTTTCCCTGAGTTCTGTAAGCAGCTCTAATAAATTAACTGAACCCAAAGGAAGGGTTTGTAGGAATGATTTGTAGCTTGTCCATCAGAAAGAGGCAGACCTTTCTGTTGACTTCTGAAGTGGTGGGAGGGGGCATTCTTGAAAACTGAGTCCTCACCCTGGGATCTGATGCTAACTCCAGATGGATAGTGTTAGAATTGAACTGAATTAGAGGACACTCAACCTGTGTCTGCTGCAGAATTGATTGCTTGCTTGATGTGTGTGGGAAAACCCAAGCTCACTTGGTCACAAAAACCTTCTGTGTTGATTGTTGTGATGTAAGAGCATAGAGAAAAGTTTGTTCTTTTATAGAGACGAAAACAAAGCAACACAGAACAAAAAACTTTTGCAGAAACTAACCAAAGGCTTGTAGCTCTAAAGTGTATCAGAGAACAGGATTTACAAAATAGTTAAGATGTTTATGTATTTACACATCAAAATATGCTTATTGTATGAAGTACAAAAAAATAGGAAAAGATAATGGATTCAAATTCCCACTACCAAAGACAACTGTTGTCAATATTTTGATGTAATTATTTCTGCCTCTATAATGTACATTTTCTGTAATCATAGTTGAACTCATTATTTTTATGCAGTTTTATATGATAATAGAATTAACCATGACAGATTTAATTTGTATATTATTATAAATATTTTATGAATGCAATTTTAATAGCTACATAACAGTGTATCTAGTAGCATTTCATCTAGTAGACATTTTATATTCTGTGCAGTTGTTCACCATTTTTAAATATTTTGGCTATTTAAATTAATTGTCTTAAACATACAACAATAAATTCTGGGGGCATAGGTTTCTATATAGTTTGGATTGCCGGAAGTGTAATGGCTGAGTCAAGGCGAGATTTTCTTTTTAATGGCTCTTTATACACAGGCATTAAGTTTTTTAACATTTTTAACATTCAAATTAGAATTAGATACATATGATATTTTCTACAACTAAATCTGAGAAATTCACTCAAGAGACGACTGATCTAGTTTTATCCTTAAGAGGAGATTTAATTTTCAATAACATTTAGCCATCAGTTAAAAAAATATCTTGGCTGAAATCAGATAATGTAGGTTATGAATAGAGACCAGTAAAAAACTCTTCTACACTGTTACTGGTGTATTTTCATGTAGCTATGTGGCATGAAAATATACCAATTTGCCTATGGCAACTCAACTGTGGCAACTCAAAAAGGTGGCATGATGTGATGTGAGCCCCTGATAATCTCCATTAGCAGCTTCTCCAGACAAGCACAGATAAGGATGCAGTATAAATGAAGACAATATGTTTTATATACAAATGAGAATCTCACTCACCACCATCAGGATTGTCATCCCTAAGGCCCTACTATGTGGAAAATGTGAAAGCAAAAGTGACTTTTTTGTCGATTTGATTTGGTTTTTTGTTGTTTTGTGTTGTTGCTGTATCACTAACCTTACTACAATTGCTCTAAAGAAGACCGACTGTCCAAAGATGTTATTTTATTGTGTGTTTCTCTAACTTGGCATATTATGAAGTTGACAAAGTGATTTGTGACCAGTTAAATTCAGGAGTATATTTAAATATATTTCACAAAGTATTAACTAAAGAAAAATTATGTATGATTCCAAACACAATGTAATTGAAGCAATATGTCAATTTTCAGTTCTTCCTTAATAAATATTTTTTTCTGATTCACACACACACACACACACACACACACACACACACACTCGTGGGACATTTAAAAAAAAGTTCTGTTTCATTTGGAATTTTTTCTTCTTTCAGGATATATTGATCCTCTTCTTTTGCATTATCATTTTCCACTTTTAAATATGCTGGAAAATCCAACAAACAGTAAACTTGTGGAAGGTAAGGCTCAGGCTATTGTCTATATTGCATTAATGTATCTTGAACATCCAGCAGAGGGATTGGCAATTAGGAGCTGCCAATAATCATCTCTGAATGTTATTTTAATGTGATATTTCTTCTTTTTTAGGATACTTAAAAGTATTTTAAATATTTTGTCCTGTTTCATATAATTACTCAAAGTTCCTATTAAGTGCAGTCCTTTCTAATTGTGGTCTATGACATCAGGTTTCTCCCCCAGAAAGTTCAGATAAATGTTAACAGGGTGATTCACTTTTACACTTTTTAGCTTTTTTTTCTTTTCATTAACACTAATGTTTTATATATTTGTATGTTCTCACTCATTGATACCATAAGAAAAATTGCATTCCCCTTTCTACACAGCAAAAGTTTTGGCTGAAGTCTAACAAAAATATGGAAAATCTCATTTTGCAGAAATACAAATCTGATGACCACTCGTGAGAAACAACCCAAGACATCCCTTTTGGATTCAGTAATTCAGGGTCTGTTCCTGTTGAAACATTATCTTAACCCAAATTATCCAGGCTACAAACAAACAAACAAAAAACTTTTCATTAACTCCTTTTTACCCTGCAACGTCTCTTTTGGTTCTGTTCAGAGGCCATACTCAGTATTGGCCTGAAGTCTGTGCTTTTCCAGAAGCAGAAGGGTTAGAAGATGGAATACAGAGTCATGTGTTACTTAAAAATGGGCTGCATTTTAAGAAATGTGTCCTCCAGGGGATTCCATGATATAAACATCGCAGAGTGCATTTGCGCAATCCTAGATGGCATAATCTACTAGACACCTAGGCTATATGGCATGTCCTATTTCTCCTAGGCTATACATTGGTACATGTTACTCTCCTGGATACTGTAGAGAATTGTAACACAATGGTAAGCATTAGTGTATCTAAAAACATAGAAACAAAGGAAAGCATAGTAAAAACACAGTATATATATGTGTGTGTGTGTGTGTGTGTCTGTGTGTGTGTATATATATATATATGTTTAGACGGAGTATTGCTCTGTCACCAGGCTGGAGTGCAGTGGTGCAATCTCAGCTCACTGCAACCTCCGCCTTCCGGGTTCAAGTGATTCTCCTGCCTCAGCCTCCCGAGCAGCTGAGACTACAGGCACGTACCACCATGCCCAGCTAATTTTTGTATTTTTAGTAGAGATGGGGTTTCACCATGTGGGCCAGGATGGTTTCGATCTCTTGACATCGTGATCCGCCCGCCTCAGCCTCCCAAAGTGCTGGAATTACAGGCGTGAGCCCCACGCCCGGCCAGTATTATAATTTTATGAGACCATCCTTGTGTATGTGGAAGTGGTCCATCACTGAAACATTGTTGTGAAGCACCTGGCTCTACCTATATTTCAGCTTATAATGGCTCTAGTCTTGGAAAAAGAAAACAGTTATCATGTGAATATTTTAGACAGATTCTACTTCTTCACACTACCAGAAGCTGTCACTCATAAATTGAGATATCCTTAGAACTAATTTTCGGACTTCATTGAATGGGATTTTTTGAGGAAAGAACTGAAACTTTTTGGATTAGTTTATTTTAGCTAGCCACTGCTTATGGTAGGGGCAAGGGAGAAAGACTGTTTTTCAAGCATAGAAACAGAAATATTAAAATTTCAGCTCATGATCTTTAAGAAAAGAAAAGCAATGAGAAGTTGTGTGTAATTTTTATTAAAAGGTAAATGAATTACATTGTCACATTGATTCTACATCACCTTTCACATCTTCAATTTTTTCCTTCTACCCTCTCTAATTTCTCTATTGACCTGAATGAAGTCGACACCCTTTAAAAGGTGGGGGTAAAGTGTTTTCAAATGGAACATTTATTTTTATGGCCACAGTAAATTATTACAGCTGAAACATTTGTATACAAGTAAAAAGGGACAAAACAGGATATTTTCCTTCCAGTCATGTGCAGTGATAAAATTACAACCTTAATTATTTAACTCCTGTGGTAACTGATCTTATTTTTCATTCTCTGTATGTTATAGTAGGTACTCCCACCTTGATCTCTATCTTTCCTTCTTATTCCTTCCTATCTCATTTGTTCCTCTGTCCTGCCCTGTGCAATCTTCTGTTCTACCCATCCCTACAGGCCCATTCCTATGACTCAGCCTGTTGAACTGTCTCAAGTTCTTAGTCCCTGGCATCTTGGATTAGTGCATTATATTGATTTCAAGTAAACAATTATATCTGCTATTTCTCTACTAAAATTTAGATTGATATTTCAAGAAAAAAATGACATCCACTCCATTTGCTGGATTCTATCTCTAAGAGGTTATTGTGTCCCCAACAAGTAACAGAGATGGAATAATTTTTAGGCATGTTTTAAAGGGAGAATTAACAGAAATACTTGATGATTAGGTGGATATGAATAAGAACTTACAGTTACAACCATCATTATTTGGAGAAGGAGATAGTGGAAAATAAAGGGGTCTTGGAAAAAATCGACAAATGTAGATACAAAGAAGATTATGAATTTGGTTGTGTTGACTAAATGAATACAGAGTAGAGATTAGGGAAATGTAGTATATGTTGATATATTAAGATAATTCTTGAAAGAATAGATGGTTCTGGATCTTCAATATATACTAATAAAAATGCCAAGAAATCAATGAAATTATTCTCACTAAACATGTTCCTCATCAAAACACTACCTTGGAATTCACATATAGCACCAATGATAAAACAAAAAAAAAAAGTTCTATGCCAGGGTCATTTTTCTTCTTATTGGCACTGTAAAAACTGAAACCTAGAATATAAGAAAAAGGATTTCAAATTTGACAACATTGCAGGAATTTTTCTTAGGATGAAGACAAGTTGAGATCTTACACACTTTGTATAACATTTAAGATAGAAGATGTAAGATGATACCATAACGTAGATGGTTGAACTGGTTTGAAAACAAGGCACATGAGTCAGGAACATAAATTTAAATACGTTAAAGCTAATAAGACTGCCATTTCACTAGCAACACCCAATTAAACAAATGGGAGGCACAAATCCTGGGGGATACATAGAAATTAGAATATATCTCTTATTTTGGGACTTGGGCTTTCTATTTTCAATATAACGAATAAGTCATTCACTTTTGAGTTAATCGTTCCAGTCATATATCTACCTATTTGACACAACTTTGGAAAAATCAACACATTTTCTGAATCTTCAATTTATAATTGACATTTTAGGGAAAAGTGCTCAGAGAATATATCACTTTCCCTATATTTCCAAATTGTACCAAAATGGGGTATATTTCTGAATTGTAAGCAGGAATATTAGTGATAGTTGATGATATGATTTGCCTGTGTGCCCACCCAAATCTCATCTCAAGTTATAATCCGAATTGTCATCCCCACATGTGTAGGGAGGGACTTGGTGGGAGGTGATTGGATCATGGGGGTGATTTCCCCCATGCGGTTCTCATGATAGTGAGTGAGTTCTCATGAGATCTGGTTGTTTGATAAGTGCCTGGAGCTCCGCCTCTTCTCTCCCTCCTGCTGCCATGTAAGACATGCCTTGCTCCCCCTCCCCTTCCACCATGATTCTAAGTTTCCTGCGACCTACCCAGCCATGCAGAACTGTGAGTCAATTAAACCTCTTCATTTATAAATTATCCAGTCTCAGGTAGTATTTTTATAGCAGTGTGAAAATGGGCTAATATACCTGAAAACCTCAAGAAACCGGCTTTTAATTTGAGCCATATTTTTAAAGCTTGAAAAACTGGTTTATATGTAATTTAATGCTGGAAAAAAGAAATGAAGTCAGCATACTGTTAGACTAGATAAGTCATTTTTCCTTAAAAATACAGAGAAGATTAATATTTTGAAGAACAATTGAATGATTAAATATTGGCTTAAAGTTATACTTAAATTTTAAGTCTCTTGTATCTGGAAACAAATTAGTGATCCTGTAATTAAACCTGCAAGCTTTGAGTACATTTTAAAATAGTATCATGGAACAAAAATCTACAGGTACTTTTAAAGGTATAGCTGCTGGTCTAATTTCTTGAATTTAAATTTCAGTCACACTGTCACGTCTTAATTACAAAACCAAAAAGTCAGAAATTATATACCTGATTTCTAAGGTCAGTTTAAATACCTATCAATCTTCATAGTAAGCTGTTTAAATTTATTTGATGAGAAGACTTAGCAAATTTTAAACTTGTGCAAACAGACATTCTTTAGTAAGTTCCTACAAATAATTCCTTTGTTTTGTCTTTTGTGATATTATTTGCTATGAGGAATAATAACAATGAGCTTACGTACATTAATTCTTTTCTGGTTTTTACATCATTCTTGCCTTTACAACGTAAAAAAATGCTAGTTTATGCTATCATACACTAGGAAAAATGAAAGTGGAAAAACTTTTCAACCTGTATAATATTGCAGATCTTTCCATTTTTTTTCCAGTAGAGAAATTTTCCTACACTGAATAGAGACCATCTTCAAAACAGAGAGGTTATGAGGAAATAAATGAAATTCACTGGGGAAAAAAATTTGTACAAAAATATTACCCAGTGTTTCAATGATAATAGCCTGCAGCTTTCACACTAACTTGAAGATAAACTGTCATTAGTGGAAATAAAATGAAGCCTCCTAGAGTACTAGGAGTGCACAAAGTAAAGAAACTGGGAAATTTCCAATAGTAGTGCGACAATACAAAAGCCTCCTGTTAACTCTTGGTGTATGTCTCTTTATGCATATGTTTCTTTCTATGTGAATATATACTTATATTTGACAGTACATAAAAATATATTAGTATTATCTAGACTGCTGAACTATTTATAGTTTTCTATACATGCCATGTCTTCTCTTCTGGTTTCTCTAGAAGCAGCTATCCTGTAATTATCTCTAGGTCCCACAATTCTCTCTCTTTCTCTTTCTCTCTCTCTCTTTCTCTCTCTCTCTCTCTCCCTCCCTCCCTCCTTTCCCTCTGACTCTCTGTATATAATTTTTCCCTATAGTCTTGGGCTTACCTTAAATGATGACAATCAACAAAACATTTTGGGATCTTCTGAACTGTAACTAATCCTCCACTCAAAACTCCCATGTGCTTGGCTGGTGCTCATTTCTTTCTACCTCTCATTGTAGTTATTGGTATACATATGCCAATGGCTCTGTTTGCTGTTATGACAAACATGAACTAACGCCTGTGTAAGAGTCTCTAATTCATTTCATTCCATTTTGCTCCTAAAATAAATAAGGTAATTCCATGGAAGTGTTATTTCTAACTGTTCATTTTAATTTCATTGAAAAGTGTGGGTGATTCTCTGTCAAATGTCTTTTAAGGTTAAGCACTGTTGGTTAATATACCACATTACTCACTGTGCACTCAAATGTAATTGTGCATGAGCATTCCATATGCATATGCAAACTTCTTGTTATTACAGCATTCTAAAGGTTGGGGAAGCAGAAGTCAAACTTTGTAAAAACAAAGAGACCAAGACAACTCACATGGCAAGTCAATTCCAGTCTAGAGGTGCAGGAGCAGTAGACTGCCATGGATGATGGATCTCTTTATAATAGGCATGAGATTCACACCATCATGATGGAAGTGGTCATGAAGGGAGTTTGACTTACATGTTTCCAGAGTACATGTTAAAAAGTTCAAATATAATGATAAATGATGTGGTAAATACAAATCCTTTTCAAATGCTGACATCATTCTGAGGCGTGCGTTGTAGGCAAAGGGCCAAGGCTTCAGGAGGTTGTGCCTGGATGGTCTTCCATTGGCAGGAGTGCAGTCAGTATCTCAGTATCTGCTGGGCTGGCTGGTCACCCTGGGATTGACTGTTCTGGTCTCCAAGAATCCTGACACCAATATTGTTCTTAGTTTAGCAGTTTGCACCCTTCAAAATTTTAAAGCCATCTGAGGATAGCAAAACTATTAACAGAGTCTTTTCCAAACATTTCTGAATCTATAATTTAGTGTATCTTTTAAATATCATTGGCAGTAAGAAAGAGCAATTGGAAGCAGAGGGAGCAGGTTAATTGAAAGCTGTAAAGAAGCCACTGAGTGAAAAGTGTTGAGAAAGAATGAAAGCAATTTTAAACTGTGTCAGTCACTGTTTAGTTTATGCCCTCCATGTTAGTTCAATACTGGTGCAGTTTCCTCTTCTCATTTTCTTTCTGTTTGAATGTGCAGTATTCTCAACTTTATTTACTGTCTGCTGTTCCTTGGTTCATTGGCACATAAACTGCACCTGATTTAATGTTTTTAGTGCAAACCGTTTTTTCCAAAGAAAATCAAGCCATTCTTAAAAATGCATCCCTTGTTTAATGAATCAATTGTATACATAAATACTGCAGCAAGCAAAGGAAGTTTTATCTTTCCAAGGCTGAAGACACTTGGTAATACTTGCAGCATCTGTTTTAGAGAAGAAAGAATAAAATGACAAAGCTGGAGAATTAATTCTCCCATATTCTTTATTGTAAAATAATTACATAATTTTGTTTTAAAGTGACAAAGTGAGGTTCAGAAACAAACATTCACAGATTAGTATTTAAATATTTCAATATCTGTGGAATATAATTTTACAAATGGAAACCCCAGATTGGAGAAGTGACCAGCAGTGTATTTAGGACTAGAATTCAGGTCTCCAGACCCAGTTCTGTCATTTTCTTACTACATTTTGCTACTTCTTATATATAGAAAACATTGTCTCAGAAAAGACAGCAGATTGTGGTTGCAAGCATATTTTAGAATCATTAAAGGATAAAATATCATGAACTTCAAATAAGTTAGTTTTAGCAGCATAAAATAACTTTGTTATTATTTCCACATAAATAAAGCTCATTAGTGTATGGATAAAAAGCAAAGATTAGCCTATATTTTACAATTTTCTTGTTTAACATTAGAATTTAGATACAGTTGGTGATATGGTTTGGCTGTGTTCCCACCCAAATATCATCTTGAATTGTAGCTCCCATAATTCCCAAGTGTCCTGACAGGGACCTGGTGGGAGGTAATTGACTCACGGGGATAGGTCTTTCCCATGCTATTTTCATGATAGTGACTAGGTCTCACAAGATATGATGGTTTTATAAAGGGAAATTTCCCTGCAAACGTTCTCTTGCCTGCAACCATGTAAGACATGACTTTGCTTCTCCTTTGCCTTCCACCATGATTGTGAGACTTCCCCAGCCATGCTGAACTGTGAGTCCATTAAACATCTTTCCTTTATAAATTACCTAGTCTCAGGTATGTCTTTTTTAGCAATGTGAGAACAGACTAATACAGTAAATTGGTACCAGTAGAGAGGAGTGCTGCTGTAATGATACCTGAAAATGTGGAAGTGACTTTGGAATTCAGTAACAGGCAGAGCTTGGAACAGTTTGGAGAGCTCAGAAGAAGACAGGAAAATGTGAGAAAGTTTGGAACTTCCTAGAGACTCGTTGAATGGCTGTGACCAAAATGCGGATAGTGATATGGACAATGAAGTCCAGGTTGAGGTGGTCTCAGATGGAGATGAGGAACTTCTTGGGAACTGGCATAAAGGTGACTCTTGTTATGTTTTAGCAAATAGATTGGTGGCATTTTGCCCCTGCCCTAGAGATTTGTGAAACTTTGAACTTGAGAGAGATGATTTAGGGTATCCATTGGAAGAAATTTCTAAGGTGGCAAAGTGATTAAGAGGAAGCAGAGCATAAAAGTTTGGAAAATTTGCAGCCTGACACGGCAATAGAAAAGGAAAACCCATTTTCTGAGGAGAAATACAAGTTGCCTGCCAAATTTGCATAAGTAACAAGGAGCCAAAAGTTAATCAGCAAGACAATAAGGAAAATGTCTTTAGGGAATCTCGGAGACCTTCATGGCAGCCCCTCCCATCACAGGCACAGTGGCCTAGGAAGTAAAAATGGTTTTGTGGACAGGGCCCATGGCCCTTCTGCTCTGCAGCCTAGGGACTTGGTGCCCTCTGCCCCAGCTGCTCCAGCCATGGCTAAAAAAGGCTAAGGTACAACTTCGGCTGTGGCTTCAGAGGGTGCAAGCCCCAAGTCTTGGCAGCCTCCATGTGGCACTGAACCTGTGAATGCACGGAAGTCAAGAACTGAGGTTTGGGGACCTCCACCTGGATTTCAGAGGCCTTATGGAAACCCTTGCATGTCCAGGTGGAAGTTTGCTGCAGGGGAGGGGCCCTCATGGAAAACCTCTGCTAGGGCAGTGCAGAAGAGAAATGTGGGGTTGGAGCCCCCACACAGAGTCCCCAGGGGCACTGCCTAGTGGAACTGTGAGAAGAGGGCCACCATCCTCCAGACCCCAGAATGTTAGAACCACTGACAGCTTACAGCATGTGCCTGGAAAAGCTGCAGACACTCAATGCCAGCCCATGAAAGCAGCTGGGAGAGAGGCTGTACCCTGCAAAGCCATAGGGGTGGAGCTGTCCAAGACCATGGGAATCCATCTCTTGCATCAGCATGTCCTGGATGTGAGACATGGAGTCAAAGGAGATCATTTTGGAGCTTTAAGATTTGACTGCCTCTCTGGATTTTGGATTTGCTTCACATGCGGCATGTAGCCCCTTCCTTTTGGCCAATTTCTCCCATTTGGAACAGGTGTATTTACCCTATGCCTGTGCCTCCATTGTATCTAGGAAGCAACCAACTTGTTTTCACTTTTACAGATTCATAGGCAGAAGGGACTTGCCCTTTCTCAGTTGAGACTTTGGACTATGGATTTCTGAGTTAATGCTGAAATATGTTAAGGCTTTGCAAGACTGTTGGGAAGGCATGATTGGTTTTGAAATGTGGGGACATGAGATTTCAGAGGGCAGAATGATATGGTTTTGCTGTGTCCCCACCCACCTTGAATTGTAGCTCCCATAATTCCCACGTCATGGGAGGGATCCAGTGTGAGGTAACTGAATCATGGGGGTGGGTCTTTCCCATGATGTTCTCATGATAGTGAATATGTCGCATGAGATACGATGGTGTTAGAGGATTCCTCTGCACATGCTCTCTTGCCTGCCACCATGTAAGATGTGACTTTGCTTCTCCTTTGCCTTCCACCAGGATTATGAGGCCTCCCCGTCCATGCTGAACTGTGAGTTCATTAAACTTCTTTACTTTATAAATTACCCAATCTTGGGTACATCTTTATTAGCAGCATGAGAACAGGCTAATATCTTAGGGTTTCTGATTTAGCAGTATGTTGTGAAAAGAAACTAGAATGCTTTTTTGGGGGGCAGGCTAAAAATTCCATGTTACAAGTATTTACAGGCTGCTTTGAACACTAAAGTCAAGAGAAAAATCTATATTTTAAACGTACTAAATAAAGTTATTGGTTGTTGTGGGAAGTCAGGGACCCCGAACGGAGGGACCGGCTGAAGCGATGGCAGAAGAACATAAATTGTGAAGATTTCATGGACATTTATTAGTTCCCCAAATTAATACTTTTATAATTTCTTACACCTGTCTTTCTGCAATCTCTGAACATAAATTATGAAGATTTCATGGACATTTATCACTTCCCCAGTCAATACTCTTGTGATTTCCTATGCCTGTCTTTACTTTAATCTCTTAATCCTGTCATCTTCGTAAGCTGAGGATGTATGTTGCCTCAAGACCCTGTGATGATTGCGTTAACTGCACAAATTGTTCGTAAAGCATGTGTGTTTAAACAATATGAAATCTGGGCACCTTGAAAAAAGAACAGGGTAACAGCAATGTTCAGGGAACAAGGGAGATAACCATTAGGTCTGACTGCCTGAGAGCCGGGCAGAACAGAGCCATACTTCTCTTCTTACAAAAGTGAATAGGAGAAATATCGCTGAATTCTTTTTCTCAGCAAGGAACAGCCCTGAGAAAGAGAACGCATTCCCAGGGGTAGGTCTCTAAAATGGCCGCTCTGGGAGTGTCTGTCTTATACGGTTGATACGGTTGAAGATAAGGGATGAAATAAGCCCTGGTCTCCCGTAGCACTCCCAGGCCTATTAGGACGAGGAAATTCCTGCCTAGCAAATTTTACTCAGACCGGCTGTCTGCTCTCAAACCCTGTCTCCTGATAAGATGTTATCAATGACAATATGTGCCCAAAACTTCATTAGCAATTTTAATTTCACCACGGTCCTCTGATCTCGCTCTGTCCCCATTTGCCTTGTGATATTTTATTGCCTTGTGAAGCATGTGATCTCTGTGACCCACACCCTATTCGTACACTCCCTCCCCTTTAAAAATCACTAATACAAACTTGCTGGTTTTGCGGCTCAGGGGGCATCACAGAACCTGCCGACATATGATGTCCCCCCTGGACACCCAGCTTTAAAATTTGTCTGTTTTGTACTCTTTCCCTTTATTACTCAGACCAGCCAACACTCAGGGAAAATAGAAAAGAACCTACGTTGAATTATCAGGGGTGGTTCCCCCGATATCTGAAAAGAACCTACATTGAATTATTGGGGGTGGTTCCCCCAATAATTGGTGACCAGAAAGAATACTACATACACATAATACCTACATTATGAACTTAGCCAAACCTCTGCAACTGTGAGTGATAGATTCATATGATTAAAGTCAAATTTTGCTGTGTTGTAATTTGTTGCTACACTGGACATTTACTTCTTGGACCACTAAATTTTAGAAAATGCTTTTTAGGGAAAACATGAATGACATTTTTCATGTTCTTAATGACTAGATGTCTGTTTAGAAAGAGAGAGAAGGGATCTGTCTTCTTCTTTTCATTAAAAAAAGCATGTATTAAATGGTCACTGTCACTATTGGTGCTGTGAGCAAGAGGATTTTGTCACTTTGGTATTCATGTATACCTCTTGAACTTCATGAGGAATGTAACAATTCTGCTTTACTTTCCATTATCACTTATAAAAGTTTTGAGAATGCTTCTTATGTGTTTCTTTACCAAATCTGAATGCATCAATCCTGATTGTAAGGCGAAGGTGGACACTCTTATTTTGAAGCCATGATATCTCCTGCCAAAGGGTTTTGGTACCACAGGGATGTGGCACATTTTTCTGGAAAGGGCCAGAGCAATGGTGAAAAAGGGCCCACAGATGGTTTGTTGATGTGGTAGAGCCATGCTATTGCTACAATTATCACAGACACTGATAAAAAGGGTCTACTGAAATAAAACAGCTTTGTGCATCCTTTATCGTACTTCAACAGTCTTTCTAAGTTGATGAAGTACAACTCAACGACAGTGCTGATATTGGTTCCTGCATAGAAGAATAAAGCCCAGAACAGGGAAAGAGCACCACTGCAGGTCACTGCTTATCTCCTTGGTTTGCAGAATGGCCAGAGCCAGAAGCCTTCCTGCACATATAAAAGGCAGTAGAAATGAATGTTCAGTCTCCTAATTAACAAACGAACGCATGAGGTTTGCATCATTTTCCTGGGTTCTTACCAAGGGTCAGTAAGGAAATCGCTTCTTTGAAGTATATCTCCGTTATTACCTGACATATTATAAGTCAGAGTGCTGTCTTTAGTGTCTGTGAACGTATGTTCTCAGAAGATTAGCCACAAAATCACAAACTTATGTGAGAAAATTACTCCTCCATTAAAGTAATTTATGGGATCATGTGCAAAAGAAACATTAGATATGGCAACCAGAGTGATTGGACAGTATTTCATATTGTTAAAAGAGTGTTCTACATGATAAACTCTCAATATAAACAGCTGTAAGTTACTTTCAATTGAAGTGTGATAAGGCTTCAAATGATTACATTAAATGAGCAAAAGTGTTCAAGAATCACATCTGAATGTTGAAATTCAAATGATTTATGTTGAATTTCAAGGGCCCTCACTCAGTCGCACCTGCAAAATGTCACCTCCATGGTCCTATCTCTTCTCTTCTCATTTACTTTCTTGCTAAAAGGTCAAACCAGAAAATCTACTCTTTAACTTTCTCTTTGACAATGTCTAAATTCTTAAATCTGTTTAATTTTAAACTGCTTTGTGCATATGTATAGACTTTGTTCCACCTTCTGTGTTTCTCTAAGATGCCCCATTAGTCTTAAACTACTAATACTTTTAGCTTTCCACTAAATAATCTATAAGTGGTAGTAAGAATTTAAACTAAGATGTCTATATTGCAAGCTGGAATCCTCATGCAAGCCTTGAATGGGCATAGGACCGGAAACCTATTTAATTTATTGAAGCTGAAGTATTATTAAGTATTATTAATCAACATCATCATCACCATTGTCATCAAGGATAATATTAATTGAGCATTAACTATGTACACAATGTAAGGCATATTATCATGTGGCCAACATAATTTTCGTAATTGTTTTGTGAGACAAGAAATGTTATTCTATTTTACAGATTGAGAGAGTATGGATCAAAGAACAAAGTCCGAATTTCATTACCTGAGAGAATTAGAAAATGTCTAAAATTGAAGCATTTCTCATTCTTTGATTTTTACTTTATGATTACAAATAGATTTATTATCAATCTGTGTTTCTGAGTATTGTGATTAAAAGTAGCTTTTGTGTAATAAAATTCATAATTACTATAACACATCATTACTAGTAAAACTCTCTAATTAGTTTATCACAAACAGAAGCTCAGGCCCTCCCTCCAGAGATTCTGATTTAATTTTACCTGGGTGGTTATAATGTACAGCCACATTTGAAAAACCACTGATGTAACACAGTTATGACATTACTCATATGGCCTAGAAATAGCCAAATTGGGATGTCAAATTGATTTCTGCCAGATGCAAGTTCAATAACTCAGTGGTTTGGTGTGCTCTAGTCTATTCATGATATAAGATGCAAAATAAATGAACTTTATTATTTGGTTGGTGGTGGGTATGCTGATTGCAAAATTTTTAAACCATTTCAAATTTCATGCTGAGAATAATTTTATGTCTCATATTAAGAGAATCACCTGAAATGACATATTACTTTGACATAATAGCCTAGAATCAGATGAGTCCAAGGTATATCTAACATTTTCTAGAACAAATTAACCTGTCTAAGCCATGTGTTGCAGGACACAGAAGGAAACTCGATAAAGTGAAGAAAACTTGGCATTAAGAGACTTTACATTTGGCTTTAGTTCAGGTTCTGCCTCGAACTAGCTAAATGCTTAGGGCGTGCAACTGCCTTTTATCTGCATCAGTTTCTCCATCTGAAAAGTAAGATATTAAATGACTGCCAAGCTCTCTTGCAGCCTTAATATACTTTGAGTTCTATGTTAGTGGTATGTACGGTAATTCACGTTCCAAAAATGCTATACTGGAAAAGCTCACTGTACTGTTTCAAATCTCACTCACATCAAGAAGAATGGGCTGAATTCAGTATCAGTCACTCAAATGTTCATCAGATTCCTTATGGAATTTTTTGTGGTTGTTCTTATCCTGTTTCAATATGGATTGTTTTTTCTTCAGGGATAGTTTTCCTTTGTCATTTGTGATAAACTCACCTAAGGTCTTCATTACATATTCTATTGTGATATGTTTTAATTTATCCATAGCCTAATACATACTCTAAAATATTACGATTATAGAGAAAGGCATAGAATTGTGAGTTTTAAAACTATCCAAATCTCAGAGGAACTGTTCTGCTCACAGTATTAATAATAAATGCACAAGAGCATGGGAACAGGCAGGTTAGCAATAGAAACGTATTAATGGGTTGTGGAAAAACTACCTCACATTTGTTATTATAGTTTTCAGACTGAAGGGTTTCATGCTTCATAATAATCCATGATTTGTCAAAGGAAGGCAGAAAATGTGGCCATAATAAACCTGAATCTGAATAAGAGAGAGTTCCGTGTTGTTGGTTGAATTTCTTATCACAAAGATGGCCCTTAGTAAGTTTTCAGAGAAAAGAATAGGAGAGGGAGAAAGAGAGGGAAGGAGGGGGAGGAGAGAGAGTATATGAATGGGAGAAGGTAAGAAAAAGGGAGAGGGTAAAAAGAAAACAATATATCTTACTTAAGCCAGGTCATATCAAATTTGGAAAGAGGAAAGTCACAGGGTCACAAAGAATCACAAGACAATATTTATGGGATTTGATTCTGTGATAATGTATAGTTTTGTGGATTCTGCAGAATTTTTCCACATAGTATGTGCTATGGAGTAGAATATCCTTGGCTACTTTGTGGCCCATGCCATTTTCTCTTCTTCGGCTCTCAGTGGGTGAACTTCCTTTGCTTCTACCATTGCCAAAAGCAGCCATCAGGCCTGCCAACAGTGTGGTCTACCTCCCACATGTAACACCTCTGCTGTGACCCATCTTCTGTTAGAGCAGAAGATGTCTGAAGCAAGGGTGCTAACGCTTGAGGGTTCTTTCATGTTCTACTCACATTTACCAGAGTTGGGTGGGATGATATTCTGAGTGACAATTACCTGCTCTCAGAATCACTCTTCCCTTAGGAAAAAGCCATTCGTGGGCTTCCCTCAACAATACTAGTGACCTGACTAGACTTTAAAAAATTATTTCTAAGTTTGAGACTAAACTAAGACTTTTTCTGCAAGAATAAATACAATTACACTGCAATGAGTGTTTTAAGATGCAGGGCTAGTGGAGTAACTAGGAAGAAAGAGGATAGAAACGGGATATAAGAGACTGATTTCTGGCCCTAGCTTTAATATTTACTAGGTTCTTGAATAGAGGTAAGTTGTTTGAATGCATTATGCATTCTTAAAATGTAAATAGCATAAAATTAATGAAAATGAACCACATGAAAACATTCTGTGAAAGGATTATTGGTTCCAAAAATAAAGGATGCCATAAACTTCCAGGTAGAAGGGACATGCCATCCACAATACAAAAATAAATCAAGTTATTTCAGATTTGTCTTCCATAATATTAGATACCAGAAGATTACAGCATTTGGGCAGAAAAAAGAATGTGACCAAGGATTTCATATCCAAATTGTCATTCATATATAAAGGCAACAGAAAGTCTATTTGAAATACATAATACACCAAGGAAATGCAAGACACTATAAAAGTGATTAAGTTATTTTTAATTATGATATGAAACTGGAAGAAAGTACAGATTCAATTGAATAGTTTATGATTCATACCTATTGAATGTAGACTTCAATAACTATGATAAAAGTTAGTTATCAAGTAACATGTATAATTGAATAAGCATATATCAAATCAAATTTAAAGCGTATAATTCTTGAGGGAAAGTGTACAGTAAGAAAGATATGTACAGCATGAAAGAAGACAGAAAAACAAAATCATTTTTCCTTCTGTTGCTTTTGTTGCTGCTGTTTGGGGGAATGAAGGTAAAGGTAAGATAAAAATGAGCCACAATTCCCTATTCTTTATTGGGGGCATTCAGTAAACACCACTGAATAAAATTAAGAAAATGGAAATAGGCAAACATGAATGCAATATCAGTAATATGCAGAGTAGAATTTAGCACACATTTTATGATATGGGATTGAGAGGGTTTGTTTTACTGACAGTGATTACAATCCTTAACAAAAATCTGGCTGTATGCACTGACACATCTATTACGCAATAATTGTCAGCAATTGCCAAACAAGTTGAGAGAAACAATTTTAACACCTCTCTCGGTATGATACATTACATAAATAAAAATGCCTGATGGAAAGATTACTGAATAAGATAATTACTGACTTTTATCTTAAAAATTTATATCTGAGGACATACTCCAGACAGAATATTTATTTTAATTCCAAGTACCTACACCAAATACCCATGCATGGTTTAGAAAACTGAAGCCTACTTTAGCCCACAGAAAGAAGCTCGGTGTGTTCTACAAAAAAAAAAAAAAAAAGAATAATAAAAAGTTCACTCCCTGAAAATAATATTTAATTATATGTGTAATTTTTGAACTGAAATGAAATGAGAAAGAACTAGAGGAATTGCTTTATCAAGCCCTTGGAATTTACTAGAACTGTATCAAAGCACTTACTACGTGCCAGGCACGAGCCTCATCTCTGGAGAGAGGATGCCCGAGCCACAGCACTGCTCCCTTGGAGGAGCTCACAGTACAGAAGTTAACATTAAAATTTACAGAGAGTTCCATCTAGCTCCTGTTCCTCTTTCAATTCAGAGCCAGCATTTGTGTGTTTCTTTTTTTTCCTGGAAAGTTCCAACCCGTAAATACTCTTGGCTTTGAGAGTTACATGGTCTCTATCGAAGTTACTCAACTTTGCCATGGTAGGATGAAAGAGCCATGGAAAAAATATAAACCAATAGGTGGGTGGCCTGATTTAGTCTGCAGTTTGGTTTGCTGTTCCTTGCTCTAATTAAACATACTTTCCTCCCAGCCATCGCACTAAAAAGTAGTATTTTTTTTTCAATTGTGTTTTTTAATCTTCTTTCTTACAATCTTTACAGGATAGCTTACTCTACATATTTTAATACAAATGTGTTATGTTTAGACTAGATTTAAGCTATAGTCTAGGGTTTATAGAATGTTTATGGATTGGCCTGGGAAACTGACCACTGGACGTAATATTAATTTTTGGACAACCTGTGTTCTGAATTCAAAATATCTCCCATGTTTGAGCGTGATTTTTGGAATATGGGATGTTCGTTTTTATTTCTTTAACTTTTAGCAGAAATGATACAGAAAAACCATCTCTGAATATGGAGGGAAAGAGAGATAGTGACACTTGTAAAATAGAAAATAATGTAGCACTTTTGATGTTTATCTCACTCAATTTAGAAATGTCTAAGAACCACTTTTTTGCAATTAGGGAGTATTTACATAAATGCTCAATCACTTTCCTGCTTTTCTTTGAAGTCTAATGTTTCAAAACTTCTTTCAACTACAAAGGATAAATTCATCAAGATAACTAGATTATCCTTTGAGCCACACGCATTTCCTTTGTAAAATATTCAGCAACTCCAACCATCCTTCATGAAGTACCAATATCCACCTGGGGAACTGTAATTCAAGCTTTCAGGAAGAGGTTGGTAATCCTTCTACGTATGGTATTTAGCTGAGCCTGAGACCAAGAGAATAGAGCAGAACACAAAAATAAAAATTAAAATATATTCTATTAACTAATGTTTCTTCTCTTAGCTCTTATCATTTAATTAATCCCTACTGTAATTCTCCATATTAGCATCATACAGTATTATAATTTCTTACAGTAGGCTTCAGTGTTTAGGATTACACAATCTTTTGTTGTTTGGAGTCTATTTAGTGTCAATTATGTTCCACACTATCTCATGGACTGCCTGCCATTTCGGTTATTTTGGAAGTCTCAGGTTTCATTTTTGTGGTCCTATTTGGATTCTTGTTTGTTTATCTACAAGACATTTTATCAATTGATTAATCAAATAATACTTAACATGTAACCTCATTCTGTTAGATACTATGAGAGTTGCAAAGTTCAGTACAGCACCTAAGTTCCTCATACTTATAGTCCGTGATTTTTGCTTTTGAGCATACTGAGTAGTTGGTTCGGGGCAAAGCTGGAGCTTTTCTGCATCTGGGATCTTGGGAGTTGAGCATGGGCATATGGAAGAAAGGGAAAACAAAATAGGTAGCCTTCACAAGGGAGACCTTGAGACCTAGGGGGAAGTCCCAAGATCAAGTCCATACTTCCGGGCAGAGATCAATAGCTGTGCCCAAAGTAAAGAGCCAGCTACTGTGGACTACAAGCTGCAGTAAAAAAGATTCCGAGTGTGAGCCTTGAGAGATTCCTCGAGGTAATGGTCAGGTAAAGGTAACAGAAAGGGAGGATATTTCAGAGAGCCTAAAACAGAAAATTATAGGTGGGAGGAGTATTATAAAGGGTTCTGAGTTGGCTTAGACAAAACGTCGCTACTCCAGCCCAAGCTTGAATGTCATGGAAGTGACCCAGCTGTTCCTTATATAAATTTGGGACTTTGTGCACTCTGATGGCAGTTGAGTTTCTAGTAGGAATTGCAGTGACACATTTATTATTATTATTATTATTATTATTATTATTATTTGTGTGGTGATAAATTCTCCTGATGGTGCTGACAGCAGATCTGCGGCAGCACTGGCTGACTCAGCCTCTTGTTTCTGAGCCCTTTAGTCACAGTTGGATGGCCTTTTACTGAGGGTACCAGTTTTCATCATACCATAGGGTTCATTAAGAGAGCAAGCCACAAACTCATTACCAAAGGCTTGATTAAAACCAGGGGGAAAATGCTGGAAGGCCATGAAAGTTCCAGGTATCTTCTCATCAATATTCAGAGAGAAGAGTTTGGGACCAATGAAGGGTTAACTGCAGCTAATGAATCCCATGGCTGATGGGACCAAGTGGGAGATCTGTCCTGCTAGAATCCCAGACACCAATTGTTCTGGTTTCTTCTCCTTATATTGTGAGATGCAGGCAGGGTTCTTCAAGGCCTGGCATCCTCTGGTGGGAGGTAATAACAGAGGCACTGGACATGGCACACATTTATAAAGTAAAGCAGAATCAAGCTTAAATCTTGAAAACAGAAGCCTTTTGCAAAACATGGAATGTCCAAAAATACCATTCCAAGAAGAGAACATTTATAGGATAACTGTGATTGTAGTTGTTAGCTAAAAGGAATTTTTAATAGAATTAAATGGTAATGTATAAAATAAAGGAACAAGAAATACGAACAATGACAAGAGAAGCTCTCACTAAAAGGTGGTATTTAATAGGACATAGAAAGATGAGCAGGACCTAGATAGAAAATTGGAGTACAGATACAGCATATTAGGAAGTGGTTAAATGTGATCTTACAAGAGAGGTACAAGAGTGAGAGAGACATGAGTTAGCAAGGGAACAGTGAGGAAGTTCGATGTGTGAGGCTGGATCAGACGTGAGTGCCTACGAAGTCAAACAGAATGAAGTTAGATTTGGGAAGGATATTTTCAAATCAATAATTTAAAGGGTAAAAGTTGTGTTAGAAAAGGATTAATCTGCTGTGCCAGAAGGAGAAAGAGCTTGTCAGAATCCTGTGCAGAGATCCAAAGTGAAGCGATGGAAATGGATAAGAAAAGATGCATAAACATGCAGTTGTAACAAGCTGTGAAAAAAAGAACTCATGAGAGGATCCCTTTTGCTGCTTTGGAAGAACACATTCTATGTATTCTTGGGGAAGTGTGATGAACCAGAAAGAAAGGAAATGGTTCTCTGCTTGCCTATATGTAGACTTGCTATTTTCCTAAGAATGAAAATATGTACAGATAATATGTACATGTCTCCTACAAATTTTTGAGCTTCCCAATTGCATAGCCATTTTCAGGAGTGTTACTGTGGGAATGTTGTTAAACATTAGAGGAAAGATTATTGGACTAGTGAAGTATCCTACCTAGACAAAATCAAACAAACAAACAAAAAGATTCTCTTGTCTCTAGAATCTTTTTCTCACACAAGTACACAGTTATTCTCATTCATATTTCCTCTCCAGTTTGCTTTCAGGGAAGAAGATACTAAATATTTTAGATTTAAAATTTTCTTTTTCTTTTTTATTAAATAAAGTATTGTTTCTACATTATTTCTGTGAGCACTGGAGACTCTGTATTGCAGCTATTTTTATTATTAGAATAAGTTTCAACATAACCTGGACATTAAAATATATTCCAGAAATAATAAGAATGGGAATATAAGCTCTAAGCTAACCTACATGACCAATGAGCCTGCACATCAACATAAGGCAGGATATTAAATCAGCTCCTGAAAAAGAAACAATATCAAGAGTGCCATGCACTCTACTTGTGTAAATATGTGCTTGACCAGCAAATTCTCTCTAGGGCCTGAACAGTTTCCATTTTATTATATTTTATTTTTTTGTGGGACAAGACTTAGAAAATGCTCTGATTATAAAATTTAACTTCCATTCATGGTCAAAAACCTTGAGTTACAGAAACAAGGCCAGGCTTGTGTTGCCAAGTAAGCATAAAACTACAGCAAAATTCCATATAATACTTATTTTGAATGTTCATCTGAGCAGTAAAAAAGTGAAGTCTTTAGTTATTCTGCAGTTACTATCCTAGTCCTATTTTTAGAGAAAAAAAGTTATTGGATGGCATGAGAAAAAAATGTATTATCAAGTGGCACGGTTATGGAAGGATATGTAAAACCGCATTGATTTAGACACTTAAGATTTGCAAATGTTACTATATGCTAAGCCTTGTGCTACTCTTATTAGAAATAATAATAAAAATTTATCATGGCATGTTACCCTAAACACATCTAGAACTTTTTTTCTGTTACTGATAAGAAAGCTAAAGCCAATAAATATTAAGATATTAGTCCCAAATATCAGAGATGTTTAGTGGCAGAGCTGAAACACCCAACTCTCCTAAATCCTAACCTCCTTATTCTATTTATTTTGGCATCATTTATACTAAAATAATGAAAGTGAATCATGCATATCATGGGTATGTTGGCAAAGTTGGGTATAGTCATCATGTTGTTCCCCCAAAGTGCTTAAAGTAACTTGATGATGGTACATTTTGCAGAAGCATATGCATTCAAATGCAACGTTGAAGTCATGAAAGAGTTCCTACTCATAACAGAAGTGCAAAATGTTTCTCAGAAATTTATAGACTATGCCCTGGGAAAAGTGGAGCCAAGAAAGAAGATAGTAGGCAGAGTAGAAGGAAGAAAACCAGTAGCATATGATATCCCTCCTCCTGCTTTTGTGTTCAAACACAGTCTACAAGGCACAGCACATACACCCGACTCTGAACTTCAGATGAACTGGTTTTGAACCACGACAAACTTACTTACTGGTTACTGACCTTGGTGATATTAACTTCTTTGAACATTTTTTAAAATTTTGTTTAATACATAAAGTGAGGACAATGATATACAACTTCAAAGACTGTGGTGAAGATTACATTACGGCAAATTGAACCTAAATAATTTAGTATTTGGTATGAAGAATAAATGGAGGCTACAACAATCATTACTTCCTACAACAGTGCCTAGTATAGAGAGGGCTGTTGATTGAGGAAGAATGAAGGTGGGAGAGAGCTCCTCAGCAGCTGTGTGTTGAATACATACATTTTAATATACTAGGTTAAAAAAAGAGATAATGCAAATAAAATAATCACACATTAATACTGGGAATTTAAAAATTTATCGACTTTTAAATGAAACATATTTATAAGGCAGATCTATTTTGATAGAGAATGGATATATGCCCCATTGATTTTATCTTAAAGTTTAACAACTTTAAAAAATAAATTAAAAGGAAGGAAAAGAAAGAAAAATGAAGGATAAAGAAAGGAAGAAAGAAAAGGAAAGGAAGAGAAAAGGAAAGAAAAAAAGAAAAAAATGAAATAAAAAGAAAGGCGGGCACATCTGATAAATATGCAAAAGAACTCACTAGTAGCTGAAGGCAGAATTGCTAGGCTACTTAAATCCTAAGTGTCTAGTCAAAGAGGCTGTGAATTAACACTGTTGTAATTATTAAAGTGAAAAAAGCTACACAGAGTTTCTAAACTTTCCCTGAGGGTGTTTCTCCTGTTACTTATTCTTTGTACCAAGACATCCAAAAACATACAGAGTTTAGTGCTTTGGCAACTGCTGTTACAATGTTTGAGTGAAATCCTGTTTAACTGTGAATGGCTTGGAAGTGGCGGAGAAAGTGTAACATATACACACACACATACAGCACTGACACTTTCCTACTAAAAATCATTTCATATTGTTTAAAGAAAATTCGGCAACGTATCCAACAAGCCGTTGCCATAAAAATATTTTTTATCTCTTCTTCGTCAACATTTATACCAAAATAATAGAGATTATCTTCCTGAAACTTTTTCTTTTCATTTTAGTCACTAATCTATATTCTACAATAATTAAATTTTGAAAGGTCTGAAGCATTTATCCCCCAATTTTGAAATATCACTTCAGACTATAAAATCCTGCATGAAGATGGGCTCTATGACCTGGCCAATTCACTTAATCTTCTGGGACTTGTTTACTTCACTTACTAAATGAAGAGTTTGGATCTTAGGATCTCTAGGATACCTTCAGGTTCCCAATATTTAATAATTCTCGAAAAACATGCTATTTGTGTGTGTGTGATCATGTTTTTCCTATAAGGGTATATGAGCCTAAAATTCATAGAAAACTGTGTTTAAGGCAGGCATATCAATTAGTTTGGATCATTATTTCTTTTAGTGAACTAAATGCTAAAGTTTTTTTCTGACTTTCTAGGTTATATTTCTTTGATATCAAAAAATATCAGATAGTCTTGGCTTTCCACAATTATTTTAGGGTCAATTACACCCCCTCCCCAAGTATTCCTTACGGTTCTATTTTTATTTACCCCATGTCCCAAGTTATTAAGTCATCCATGGCGATACCCTGTCCAGAACGGCCATGTTCCCATCTGCAACACTTTCATCTGATCATAGCTTTCATTATCCACTCCAAAACCATCCCTTTCTTACTATCCCCTCATCTCCTTCTCTCTCAAAACTTCTGTTTCCCCAAAAGAGCTTATGTTCACTAGGTGATCACAGAGGAGCAGACTAATTAAACCAATTTAAAATATAAATGAGTGACACATGACCTGGTTTATTTCAGTCAGGAAAATCTTCATGTTGTAAAAGTCTCAGTTATCTTTAACTTCTGGATTCATTCATTAATTTACAACCAGTATTTGGGAGATAACAGCAGCCCTAAATCATAGCAAGTCACAGAGCTGCTAGGTGGCTTTAGACCAAGTCTAGGTTTATCTAGATAGGAAACTAGCTAAATTATCTCAGGCCTTTGATCTAACCTTAGTAATAAGCAGACCCAACTGTATGATGATAAGAACAGAACTGAAAGAATAATTTTGCCTGTTTGTTTCTCTTCATTCTACCTGTAGGTGAACCATTCAATTTTGCATAAAATATGTAATATTTTGAGCAATAATTTAGCAGATGTACTGTTTTCATCTAAACGTCTGACACCTGAAGATTACAAAAGTTAGCATTAAAAAAATAGGAAATTTTAAAATGTTAATCACACAGAATTGCACACTGGAGGCCAAATGGAGGATGCGTAGGTCACTACTTGTATAGATAGAAAGGATTCTTAAATTACTAATCAAACATGCCCAAAGCTTATGTTCTGTATTGTATGGAGTAATATCTAAATGAGAAAATAGCAAACTATGACATAATTTACTCTTTGTAGCATGTTCGATAAATCTGATGTATCAAAATTTACAGTAGCTGCAAATAAACTATAGATCTAAATATTAACAGAAAAGAAATACAAGCACATAAAGAATATGTTCCAGGCCGGGTGCAGTAGCTCACGCCTGTAATCCCAGAACTTTGGGAGGCCAAGGCAGGCGGATCACGAGGTCGGTAGATTGAAAGCATCCTGGCTAACACGGTGAAACTCCGTCTCTACTAAAAATACAAAAAATTAGCCGGGCATGGTGGCAGGTGCCTGTAGTCCCAGCTACTCAGGAGGCTGAGGCAGGAGAATGGCGAGAACCCAGGAGGTGGAGCTTGCAGTGAGCCGAGATCACGTCACTACACTCTAGCCTGGGTGACAGAACGAGACTCCGTCTCAAAAAATAAAAAAATAAAAATAAAAATAAAGAATATGTTCCAGTAGTTTATGAAATAAAATAAAATACAAGCAACCTACAGGCATTCTCATAGGTAAGAGGAAGGATTAAACTTGGCGATCATGAAATCTCTACAATATGGTTCTTTTAGTTCTAAAATTGGAGGCTTCTAAAATTTATGAAACAACAGAAACAATAAGAACTCTCTATGTAGGAAAGTAAAAATAAATAAAATGAATAGCAAAGAAAGATCATGAGAATGCACCCAATATTGTAAATAACAAAAGAGGGAAGAGCCAAAGGATTTCTTACATATAAATACATATTCTTGTGTTACAGATAGAATAGTTCAAATATTATTTTTATCAGAAGACATTGGGAAGTCAACCTTTTGATTTGTCAGCTTGTTTTTTCATAGCTTGACATGTGAAGAGAAATCCGGTACGAACTAAACTAGAAGTAAACACTAAGAATTTGAGGCATTCTTTAAAAGTAATAGTATAACAGCTGGACTGGTTCAATTTGGCTTTTACTGCTGTTTTTTTCAGTTGTAAGAGCAAATGAGTTGAACACCCACAGAAGAAAATACATCACATTCTGGGAACCAATCCTAAGAAAATGTCAACCTGTAGAGATTTGTGTTTGAACAAGCTGATAATAGTCTGTTGTTGTTTTTTTTCTTCATATTGTATCTCTTGCCTGGAATACACAGCCTTTGTTGATGCCTGAAATTTTTAAGAACCATGAAGAAATTGAACATTATCCCAGAATTTCTTATACTAAATCAATACAGCAAAAGAACTTAGTCAAGCAAAACAGGCTCTTTGGGAGGCCCCGCTGCCCTTCAATACTGTCCAGATGTAAAATTCAGGAAATGCTGTAGACATTAGAGTCATTCAAAATTTACAACACCTAAGTAAGCAGCATGAAAGGACTGCAGAGTGGAAACAAAGAATGATGCATGTTGAGCAGAAGGGGCTGGAGTGAAAGACAACAGAATCCATGGCAAGGACAGAGAGCAGAATGGATCTCTAACCCTCTCAGGCAAAACTGGACTAAACCTGTCTCTATTCAAAGCAACTATTCTGTCCCTACTGCCTCCTGGCTGCTTGTCTTCCCTGACCCCTTCTGAAGGCATGAAGCCACTTGTGGCTATAGCTAGAGGCACAAAACCTTCTTTCAAATGGTGTATTATTTTAAATAGTAAGTTGTAAGAATACCAAAAGATAGTCTTTCTAAATTTTTTAAATCCAATTTACTTAATTTAGAACACACAATGGCAAATTTGCTTACACATTATCTAATAATAAAGCAGTCACATCAGAATGTCGGGTTCACGGAGGCCAGGAACTTAGCCGTATCATTTCTATTGAATCTCCGGCAGCTAAAACAATGCTTGGTGCATAGTAGGTATCCCACATATTTGAATGACAAAATGAGTCAGAGATGAACTGAAGCAGAATTCAGCTTCATGGAGAATTTCTGATTCCCAGGGAATTGGATATTCTGATTTTTATCCTGTTTATGATAAACTGAATTTCCTTTGCCTGGCTTTCCAAAGGATGTCCAAATTCTCTGTCAATTTTTATTTCAATAAAAAATGAGAGCCAAAATCACTTCCCCTAGTACTCTTGATCTTCTGAAAGCTAAATTATTTTTCTTCCTTTTACTATCCTTTACGCCTCCAGTCCCTAAGCTTAATTAACTTGTATTTTTCTAAAGGAACTGAGAGGCAATATGATCCATAGACAAAAAGGGAATTATTTGCTCTGTTTTTCCCCCAATTATCAAATTATCAAACATGAGTCTTCAACACTTAGAAGTTTGAAATCAGACTTATAATTTTTGTCCCTCAATATGCCATACCTACAGGGCATTATGAGGATCAATTCATTATTTAGTGCAGAAATAATTTCTTTACTAGTACTTTTGTTTATTCTGACATGTAAAAGAAGAAGTTTAAATGTCTTTCTAAAGTATATATTTCTATTTATAGTGTATGTAAATTTCCCCAAGGGTAGCAATAACTGTAGCTGTGGAAAGTGAGAGACACACTAGAATAACGTGAGTCACTTTTCATTTTTCTGTACTTTCCATAGCTCCCACTAGGGACATAAGCTGAGGCCACTAAATATTTCACAACTGCAATAGGGTTATGGCCAGTGATGCAACAATAGAAAAAGAAGAGAGAAAGAAAGAAAAATAGACAAGGATACTGGAAAGAATGGAGTGAGGAGGGAAGAGAGAGACAGACAAAGAAATAGCAATTGTAATATTATAGAGGAAAATCCAAACTTAGAACTAAAGGGTGTGCATATGGAAACCGAAAAGCACATAAAGACTAAGAATATATTTATTCATATAAATCGAATAATAACTTAGTCATTGCATTTTATCCAGAAAGTCTCTAAAGTTTTCTTAATGGTTTTCAGTCATTCACAATCATTAAGATTCCACGTAGATTCTAAAATTAATGGCAATCATGTAATCATAGGTGAGAGCTACAAAGATTACACTCTTCTGATACCAGGTTCATGTAATACATCTTTGCCCATCATACTGAGATGGATCATTAACGGTCAATTTCACTCCAACTGAACAGCCCCACCTTAACCATTCTCTTACAATATGGCCTTGTTAAAGGATGTATTAGAACCAGAAACCTAAACACAGAGCTTTCATCCTTCACTTCCTCAAAGAATACCTTGCAGTGGCTTCAAAACTGCCTCTTAGCCTTCTTGCCTGGTGACCATGTGCTTCTGTCACTACTTTACATTTTTCAAATTTATTTTTTAATGATTCACAATATCAGCCTCCTTATCGATTCAAATTAAAATGCATTTTATATTCCCCAAGGTGACTCTGCCTCTGGGGATCCATTACCATTATTACTACTGACCAGATGATCTACCCATTTCTTCCTTAACAATCTGGATACTCTCCATCCTCTAACAGCTGGTTTCAGCCGATAGCTTGGTACCTAAAATATAATAAATTCATATTGAATGAATAAGGAATGAATGAATGAGTCAAACAACATCTGTGAAACTTGTGCTCCATGTAATCCTGGATTTACAACCTTATGATGAGATTTTAGCAATGAATGGGAAAGTTGGGGGCATCTATGAAGTATTATTTGTCCAGGAAATATGTAATTTATTGATTATTTCCTCCTCTGGGTGCTTTCTTTATAGTTTTTGTTTGTTTGTTTGAGATGAGTCTCGCTCTGCCGCCTGGGCTGGAGTGCAGTGGAGTGATCTCGGCTCACTGCAACCTCCGCCTCCCAGGTTAAGGCGATTCTTCCTGCCTCAGCCTCCCGAGTAGCTGGGATTTCAGCTGCCCACCACCAAACCC
This sequence comes from Homo sapiens, assembly GCF_000001405.40. Taxonomy (NCBI): domain Eukaryota; kingdom Metazoa; phylum Chordata; class Mammalia; order Primates; family Hominidae; genus Homo; species Homo sapiens. Next base: position 146,174,698 of record NC_000007.14, on the reverse strand, counting down.
AGCTAATTTCTGTGTTCTTAGTAGAGATGGATGGGGTTTCGCCATATTGGCCAGGCTGGTCTTGAACTTCCAACCTCAGGTGATCCGCCAGCCTCAGCCTCCCAAAGTGCTGGGATTACAGGTGTGAGCCACCACGCCCAGCCTATAGTAGAATCAGCAAAATTCATTTAAAACTATAGGCTGTGTGCATTGGCTCATGCTGGCAATCCCAACATTTTGGGAGGCCGAGGTGGGCGGATCACTTGAGATCAGGAGTTCAAGACCACTCTGGCCAATATGGCAAAACCCTGTTTCTACTAAAAGTACAAAAATTAGCCAGGTGTGGCCACTGCTCCTGGCCTATAGTTTTAAATGAGTTGAATTTAGGTGGTAAGAGTCAAGTTACTAAGCCCAAAAATGTGGAGTTCATGGAGAATCTTACATTTCTTATTATGGGTATTCGGTATTCTGTTGTTATGTTGGGTTTTTTTTCTTTTTTTTCTTTCCTTTTTTTTTTTGAGACAGCATCTTAGTCTGTCACCCAGGCTACAGTGCAATGGCAGGATTATAGCTCACTGCGTCCTCCCCTGGGCTCAACGCAATCCTCCTGCTTTAGCTTCCTGAATAGCTGGGACTACAAATGTGCACAACCATCTCTGGTTATTATTTTTGTTTTTTGTAGAGATAGGGTATCACTGTTGGCCAGGCTGGTCTTGAACTCCTAACTTCAAATGATCCTCCCACCTCAGCTTCCCTAGGCATTGAGATTTCAGGCTTGAGCCACAGCTCCTGGATTTATTGTCGATATTCTTGATTGAGATATTTAGTCATTCAGAGCTGTGCATTGGTAATAGCTACTGCTTGAGCACACTTTTATCCACATATAGATTACATGCTACTACAAGTTAGGAGTCTCATCATCTGTTTTCAACTAACACATGCTGAGTATATTTGCATGTACGGCATTCTGTCAGGATCTCTATATGACATACCATACAGTACTGAGCAATTTTTAGAGTCCTAGTTCTCATGGAAATTATTGTTCTGTAAAGAAAATAAATATACCAACTATTACAAAAAATAAGTTATAACATTACAGAAGCAATAGAAACTTTAAGGGGCAATTAAATTTGTCAAATAGGTCAGGAAACATATGGCATATAGCATCACAGATTTGAATTTAGCCTTATACCCTAAAATACGCATGTATATTTACTATGCTATAAACTACACAAGCAAGATATAAGTGTGTGTGTTGTGGGGGGAGGTGAGGGGGATTATTTGAGGAAGCAGATAGTGTTACATCAATTTATTTTCTAAATGGTCAATGTTTACAGCAAACAAACTGGAAAATTCAATTATTAAAAACACCTGGAGAAAATTAAAACAAGATACATATAATATGTACACTATTGTAAACTTCAAAAAGTGTATTATTCAATCCTTAATATGAGATTAGATAAAAATGTAAATTTACTCTAATAATGTATAATAAGATAAAAAAGGCTTAAGGTAACTGAACAAAATTAAAACTAAATATAAAGTTCTCTGCACGTAATTCACTAAAAATGCCAGTTTTTTTTAAAAATCCTTTGAGCAGATTTACTTCTACTTGTTCTGGTGAGGAGATTTGAACATTTAGAATCTTGTGAAAGCAGATAGGATTATATCAATATTTCCTGATGTTAATAGGAATTTTAAGGGATTAAAACGAAACAAAACAATTTTATTAGAAAAAAAACACACACACAGCTGCAGAAAACCAAACTAAGCAGGCTTTAGTACTTCAGGACCTCTCAGGTTCATTGGTAAATATCACAGAGCTTCTTGGGACCAAAAAGTCAGCATTTTCCAGATCTATCAGACCATGATCTTCCCCTGCAGAATATCTTGCATGTCTGTATTCCAAACAAAATGCGTTGAAAAACACTAAGGAAGAGTTCTTAAACTGAGAATTCTGAAAGAGCCCACTCATTTCTAGCAAGTGTTAACACTGTACTACACATGGTTGCTAATTAATTACAAGATTCCTCCAGTTATCCACACAGAAATGAAAACACGTAATGATCAGAACTTAATTAATTATTGAAGATCTAGTGTGGTGGTAACTGAATGGTTCCAAAGGCAATGCCCCTCAATCACATCATAGTCAGAATCATTAATCTGAGAAATGAAAACAAGAAAGAGGAGAGAAAAATCAGGAATTTTGTGGTCAAAAAGGAGAATAAATTCAATAAAATTTTTGGAATGTAGAGAAATCTGGACCACTAAGGTGGCTGCGCAGTGTATGTTTCAATAAGAATTTCTCAACCTTGGTACTATTGATATGCTGGGCTGGAAAATTCTGTGCTTTGGGGGTGGTCATGTACACAGTAGGATATTTAGCAGTATCCCTGGCCTCCACCCACTAGATGTCAGTAGCATTCCTCTCCCCAGAATTGTGACAACAAAACATTTCTCCAAATATTGCCAGATGTTTCCTGGGAGGCATCCTATCCCAGCCTTGAGCTATTTGGTTAAAAAGAAGAAATAGGTATTTTCAGAAGCAAATTGTAAGAAATACAAGGATGGTAGGTGAAAAAGAAAACCCAAGAAATAACACGAACTGGTAACAAAAAAAAGAAGAAACTTCCAAAGTAAATATCATATTTTAAATCATAAGCAAAAAAAAAAAAAAAAAAAAAAAATACTAAGAGCATTTTTTAAGAATTTGTAGAAGAAATAAAGGTACAAAGCAAATTTGTCATTTTTTGAAATTTCTACAATGTTTTAAATTTCAATAATATAATTTATTTAGTTTCTAATTTTTAGCTGAATTAATGACATGAAATAGATTCCATATTCAAGGTGAATATAATTTTAATTAATTTAAACTTTGTTACCTCTGTAGCACTATTTAAGATATCAACACATCATTCAAAAATATATGATGTTCATTTCAATATTTTTAAAAGTTTATTAAATTTACACATTATATATGTTTTATGATACTATTTCCAGAGCATTTAAGAAAACACATCTTTTCTTTTACATATTAATAGAAATTTTGGCCAAAGAAAATTCCCAAACTGGTGTTGATGCATGATGAAAAACGAAACAGGCCAATTTGTGTTTTTGATACCAAAGAGTTAGAATTCATAAAACACTTGCTCATAGCTTTCCAGAAAATATTACTTGAGTTGATTAAAACAAACCTTGAACCTATAATGATTATAATTAAGTGAGATTTAAAATATGACAAATAGAAAATTATTTAGCTATTTAAAATATTTTGCTGGTTTTTTTTAAACCTGCTTGTATGTATACTTGTCATATGTGATTCATTTTGGTGCTTCCCTCTTTCAGCACCTCTAAATAACGAATATCAAAGAAATAGGCTCAAAGAAATACAATTAAATTTGCAAAAACTACCAAACGCAATAATTACCTAACTATACTATAAAATATTGTTTTGTCTCAAATATATTTTTTTCTACTTAGTTCTTGTTTGCCTAGAGAGGTTATTTAAAGCTAAGAAGGATTGGTGATTGTCCATTGATAATAATCAGGAAAAATTTTAATGGAAAACTCTACTCAGTATAGCAGAATATAATGAAAAAACAAACACACAAAAAATCCAGAAAGCTGTTCCCTTGCTAGGTGAATATCCACACATATGAATAACTCTTATTTATTTATTTATTTATTTATTTTTAGACGGAGTCTCGCTCTGTTGCCTAGGCTGGTGTGCAATGGCGCAATCTCGGCTCACTGTAACCTCCGCCCCCCAGGTTCATGCGATTCTCCTCCCTGAGCCTCCTGAGTAGCTGGGATTACACGCAGCCAACACTATGTCTGGCTAATTTTTTGTAGTTTTAGTAGAAACAGGGTTTCACTATGTTGGCCAGGCTGGTCCAGAACTCCTGACCTCGTGATCCGCCTGCCTCGGCCTCCCAAAGTGCCAGGATTACAGGTGTGAGCCACCATACCCAGCACTTATGAATCACTCTTAATCTCTTTACAAATTCTCTCTTGTCAGTTAGTTTTAATTGTTTGCATAGCTCTAAAAGCCATTCATATTTAACTCAACCTAATCATATTCTTCTTCAATTTTTTAAAAATTAGTTTTCTTAATATTTTCATATTTTCTATGTTAACATATGACCACAAAAACCATATTTAAAAATATTAGTGGTGAGGTGCAGTGGCTTGCACCTGTAAAAAAAAAACTAGTGATATTCAACATCTAATTTTTAATACAACAAGTATTTATCAACTATCAAAAAGATGAGTAATAACAAATGTTGGCAAGCATGTGAAGAAAAGGGAACCCTTGTGCCCTTCGGTTGGAATGTAAGTTGGTACAGCCATTATGGAAAACACTGCAAAGTTTCATCAGAAATCTAGAACTATTGTGCCTGGCACGGTCACTAATGCCTGTAATCCTAGCACTTTGAGAGGCTAAGGCAAGCAGATCACCTGAGGTCAGGAGTTTGAGACCAGCCTGGCCAACACGGTGAAACCCCATTCTACTAAAAATACAAAAATTAGCTGGGTGTGGTGGTGCACACCTGTAATCCCAGCTACTTGGAAGGCTGTGGCATGAGAATTGCTTGAACCCAGGAGGCAGAGGTTGCAGTGAGCCGAGATGGCACCACTGCACTCCAGCCTCAGCCTGCGCAACAGAGTGAGACCACCCCACTCCAAAAAAAAAAAAAAAAAGAAAAGAAAGGAAGTCTAGATCCAGCAATCCCACTTTTGGGTATATATCCAAGGCAAATGAAATCAATATCTTGAAGTGATACCTGCATTGCTACATTCATTGCAGCGTTATTCACAGTAGCTAAGATATGGAAAACAAACTAGGTACCTATCCACGAATAAATGAATAAAGAAACAATGATATATATAATAAAATATTATTCAACCTTAAAAGATAAGGAAATCTTGCCATTTGCAACAACATGGATGAACCTGGAATATATTATGTTAAATAAAATAAACCAGACATGGAAAGACAAATACTATGTGATTTCACTGATACGTGAAATCTAAAAAAAAAAATCATATCACAGCAACAGAAGAAGGGTGGTTGTCAGGGGATCAGAGGTATGGGAAATGGAGAAATGTTTTAAGATGAATAAGTTCTGAGAATCAAATGTACAACATGGTGCCTATAGTTAATTATACTATACTGTATACTTGAAATTTGCTAAGAGAATAGATCTTAAGTGTTCTCATCACAAAAAATAAGGTAACTACGTGAGATAACCAATGTGTTAGCTTGATTGTGGTAATAATTTCACAATGTATATTTGCATCAAATCATCACATTATGCCTTCAATATAGACATTTTTCATTTCTCAATTTTATCTCCTAAAGCTGTAAAAATATTTATCAAGCACTTACTATATGTCAGGTACTACTTTAGATTCTTGACATACCTCTGTGGAAAAAAGAGATAAATATCCCTAATATGTGGCTTACATTCTAATAGCAGAGACAGTAGGAAAAATGTACAAATAAATTGGGTAAGTTAGAATTCTATCTGGAAAAGAAAATGTGGAGAAGAGAAAAGTGCTTGGTTGGATTGCATTTCTAAATAGAATAGTTGAACAGAGCGTAGAAAGTGATAATTGAACTGATAGCAGAAAGTGGCAAAGGTGCTGCTAATGAGGATATTTGGAAGATGAAACAGCCAGTGCAAAGGTCCTGAGGTTCAAATATGACAGTATGTACGAAAGCCTGGAAAAAGGCCACTGCGGCTGGAGCTGAGTGAGCAGGAGGGAGAATAGTAGGTTATGAGGGAAGAGGTAATGTAGGCATTTTGTGTAAGTCACTTTAAAGACATTGGTTTGTATCCTGAGTGAAATGGACAGCCATTTCAGGGTTTTGAGCAGAGAAGTGATATAATTTGACTTTTACTTAAGGGGTCATTCTGGTTGCCACATTGAAAATAGTTCTTGGGTAAAAGCTAGAAGCTGGTAAACCATTGGGTAGGTCATTGCAATATTTCAGGTTTGAAATGATAATGAATTGAAAGGAGTGAGAAAGTGGATGCACAGAGAAGTGTTTGAAATCCAGATGTAATGTTAGGTAGCATTAACAGGACTTTCAAGTAAATGTGAGCAGGAGAGAAGAGTCAAATAAGACCTCATATTCTTGGACTGAACAACTGGAGAAAAACAGACTGGCTACAATCTGTGGTAGAGAAATCTAAGGATGGTACATACAGGGGCAGGGTTGGGAAGATCTCTTTCAACATATAGAAAAAATAACGGGAGTCTCTGTCCTTACATTATCTGTAGGATAGGGAATGTATGAGCATACACTTCCAATATGATATAAAATTTTCCTTCATATATAATACATGACTGTGATGGTTAATATTGAGTCCTTACATTATCTATAGGATAGGGAATGTATGAGCATACATTTCCAATATTATATTAAATTTTCCTTCATGTATAATACATGACTGTGATGGTTAATATTGAGTGTCAACATGATTGGATTGAAGAAGGCAAAGTATTGTTCCTGGGTGTGTCTGTTGCCAAAGGAGATTAAGATTTAAGTCAGTGGACTGGAATAGGCAGACCCACCCTCAATCTGGGTGGGCACCATGTAATTAGCTGCCAGCACAGCCAAAATAAAGCAGACAGAAGAAGGTGGAAGGAGCTGACTTGCTGACTCTTCCAGCCTTCATTTTTCTCCCCATACTGCATTCTTCCTGCCCTCAAACATCAGTCTCCTGTCAAGTTCTTCAGCTTTTCAACTCTTGGACTGAAACACCAGTGGTTTGCCAGGGGAATCTCGGGCCTTCAGCCACAGACTGAAGGCTGCACTGTCGGCTTCCCTACTTTTGAGGCTTTGGGACTTGTAATTGCTTCCTTGCCTCTCAGCTTACAGATGGCCTATTGTGAGACTTCACCTTGTGATCGTGTGAGTCAATATTCAATAGACTCTCCTTCATATATACATCTATACTATTAGTTCTGTTCCTCTGGAGAACCCTAATGCAATGATCAACTCAAATTTGCTGTGTCCAAACAAAAATTCAGTATCTTTCTCCTCAAACATACACCTCCTCAAGTATTCCTTGTATCTTTGAAAAGCAACAACAAAGATATAGTTGTACTAGAAGAAGATCAAAGCATCATTCTAAACTCCTTTTCATCTGAACCACACATTTTTAGATTCTTAAATAACTTTTGAGTTTATGTCCTCTTCATCCTTTCTGCTACATATCAATCCTATAATATTTCTCACCTGAGCCAATGTAGGGGCTCATTAATACCTCAGCACACAACAGCTGCAATGCCATTAACAAAATTATTCTCTTCAACTTTCAGCTGAAGTATTGTGGCCATCTGAAAGTCTTTCATATTCTCTCCAATTTGATTTGAGTCTCTTCTTCTGTGTTTCCACAATAGCTTAACATGGGTCCACTGTAATATTTATATGACCAACAATGAGTGTCATTTATCTGTAAAATGTTTAATGTATAAGTAATTCATACTAGAGCTATGGGAATTCACCTGTATGATTTATGGATTTGTGGTTTGGTTACAGGGTCTGTTGAAGAAAGAGGAAAAGTACTTGTTGGTTGGTAGTAAGACTTCTACAAAGTTCTTTCTCTTTGAGTTTACAGAGCAACTGCTATGCGCCCAGTTGTCACTATCAATTAAAATTCCCCAGCTTCATGTCTGGGAAGAAATTCTCCAAAGTGCCTGATTCCTTCCCCCTACATGTCAGGTGGGAAGCCTGCTTCATTCCATGTCTTTCACGTTACTCACATGTGGTTTCGGACTTCTTTTTTAATTTCTTACCATTTCACAGCTCTTGGACCAGATTTGAGCTTTCACTACCTGGCTTATGCCTTCAGAGCCCTTGGGTGCTCAAGCATTATTTCCCGCTATCTTCTAAACCTTCTGTTTCTTCTTCTACAGAAAGATTTGCTCCACTGTGTCTGACCACTTCTAACTCGATTCTGATCTTATTTAAGGTAAACAGAGTTAACAATCCAAGGGGTTTTGGCTGGATTTAAGTATTCATAGTAAGTTTTTTAAAAATAGCTTAAATGTTCATTAATTTCCAAGTTTATTTTCTAGTGAATAGTGATTAATAACTAGTATGCAACCGTGTATATTGCTACATTAGAAAATTTTTAAGTGTATTTCATTTGCATTATCATTTAAGTAAGTTCATGAAGTTAGTATGAAACCTTACCCAATGTTATTACTGCTGAGTCTATAGAAAACAAATTCCAATTTCAAAACAAATTAGCTTTTTGGAGTACAGTCCATTGGATGCTTAGCAATGGATTGATTAAAAATGGGGGAAATATGGCCAGGTGTGGTGGCTCACGCCTGTAATCCCAGCACTTTGGGATGCCAAGATGGGCAGGTCACCTGAGGTCAGGAATTTGAGACCAGCCTGACCAAAATGGTGAAACCCCATCTCTACTAAAAATACAAAAGTACCCAGGCATGGTGGTGGGTGCCTGTAATCCCAGCTACTTGGGAGACTGAGGCAGGAGAATCGCCTGAACACAAGAGGCAGAGGTTGCAGTGAGCCAAGACCATCCCACTGCACTCCAGCCTGGGCAACAAGAGTGAAACTCCATCTCAAAACAAAAGCAAGAACACCACCACCAAAAAAACAGGGGTGGGGGAATGTGAGCCAAGGAAGTTGCTAAGTTGCTGCAACAAAGTAACAAAATAAACCTATAATTTATAATTATTTTAAACATTAGGTATTAGGTACACATTGTTTTGATTTTGTAAAATTGAACATGCAAATACACACAAGTGATTACTATGATACTGCAAGGAAAAGAAGGGTTGATATACCATTAAAATACATGTTGGGAACTATCATGACCTAATGCATCTTTTATCATTATGCATTACACAAATGATGCTGCTAGGTCCAAAAAGAAAATATTTTATTTTTGTATATTATAACCTGCTAACTTTTGTTTTATGCTGTATCTATCTCACATAAAGTTTTTATGTATTCACAAATATTTCCAACATTAATTCATTTTTGTGACATAATAAAGTGGGGATTTTAATTGAAGACATACAGATAGATACAGATTTAGATACATATAAAATCTGGAAAAGCCATAGTGCAATTTAAACATTACTGAAAAAGATTTCAATTATTCAGTCAAAAATACTAATTGACAGACTGACTTGAAATGTTTAGCTTTTAATAATCAAGAGCATCACACTTGGATAACTTTTATAACCTGTTTTAGAATGTGCACAAATGTTTCAAAAAAGACAATTGTCATAAGAGTCTTTCAATAATATTCCTCTTTTCTTTGTAGATTTTAAGACTGTTTGGTAGCAAACATATTCCACGTTTCAAGCATGCCACCTTTTGGGAATATTGCTGATTCATAATACAATTATCATAACTAATTTTAATTAAGAAAACTTTGGTTTCTTTTTTAGTTGTGCTGAATTAAACATTAAGCATTTTATTTTAAAAGCGTGCCTTCTGTACTTTACTGAACATTGACAAATTTTTAAAAAAATATATTAGTAATATGTTATGTTTTTCCAAGATAACAAAGAAAGTTAAGAAAAGAAAAGTTTACCCAAATCACAGTAGATTTTTCTACTGCTTCACAGCTTGGACGTTTAAAGATAATTGTCATAGATTATAGTTCGTAAGGGCACCGTATTTTAATTCCAAACTGTGAATGTTCACAGAAATATATACAAAGAGACAAAAATACTATTTTGTAGATTACTTTAGGCTTTAACTTAGGGTTGTTTCACACACACACTTCACATAAACTGCTTATCTTTTCAAACTCCGAATAACTTCCTGAAGACTGGTCCCACCTGAAAGATTAGGAATATAAGCCTCAAAGAACTCCCAGAAAGATGAGATCTAAACACAAATTGTCTTTTTATGAAACATAGAGAAACGGAAGATGCGTTTAAAATGTATGACGCATTTTGTAAAACTATAAAGAAGAATGATCTGAAAGGTAGCCTACTGGAAGTCATTAGAAAGAATCAATGTCCAAAGCAATGAAAAAATAACTCAATGTTCATGCCTATGCAATAAAGCAGGGAAGAGACCACTTCTTTAGCCAAATGAGAAGGAAACTGAGAATAGACCTACTGATGGTATTCAAGTTCATCAAGAGTTGTTATTAAGTTGCTGTTCAGGAAATGGAAATCTGCCCCTCTAATAATGTCAAGGAAGTTGCTGCAACAACGTAACAAAATAAACTCTACAATTTATCACAGAAGGCTGGTCCATAACATAGTAACAACCAAATAACCACATAGGTACATACCTACCTAAATACACACTGCCTTCCCTAAATAACTTTAAAAAGAAAAAACAAAAAAAACAGTAATTCATCTCTTCAGGATCAACTTTTCTTGGAGTAAGTAGATGAGTGATACATGAGCAGAAAATGCCTATACTTAAGATTCTGTTTTTTAGTGTGTGTTTAATGAAGTCTTAGAACATATTTAATAGGGCAAATGTTACTGCATTTATCGTGAAAGAAAGCAAACCTTAAAAAGAGAAAGTTATTCAAGGTATACACCTATAACATGTCTGCAAAGTCCAACTGGAAATAAATGTTGACTCACCAATTTTAAGGAAGAATTTTTTAAACACTGAGAAAACTCAGAAAACTTACCACTAATTCTACCTAAACATATGACAAAGAAGCAAATATAATATCAACAGAACTGTGTGTACTGATTTTTATTTTCAGAGAAAGCACTTCTTGTCACAGGCTGGGGTAAAAGGAGATGAGGCTGAGATGGATTCCGAACCATCAGTCTGAAGAGAGCTGGGTCTGGAACACTTACTAAACTCAACCAAACGCCAATTATAAACCTTCAAAAGAAAGGCATTCCTAAATAAAAACAATCTTGTGTAAATCTTGAATGATCTCTTTCTTTTGTCTGCCCTCTTCCTTACAAACACACTTAAAACAACCTTTCTTTTTCTTTTTTTTTCTTTTTTTTTACCCAGTATGGAGTGCAGTGGCAAGATTTCAGGTCACTGCTACCTCCCCGTCCCCAGTTCAAGAGATTCTCCTACCTTAGCTTCCCGAGTAGCCAGGATTACAGGCGTCTGTCACCACGCCCTGATATATATATATATATAGATAGATAGATAGATATAGATAGATATAGATATAGATATATAGATATAGATATATATAGATATATATAGATATATATAGATATATAGATATAGATATAGATAGATATATATAGATATATATAATGTGATATTTCTAGTAGAGATGGGGTTTTGTATTTTTATTTTTGTATTTTTAGTAGAGACGGAGTTTCACCATGTTGGCCAGGCTGGTCTTGAACTCCTGACCTCAGGTGATCCTCCCACCTCAACCTCCCAAAATGCTCGGATTACAGGTGTGAGCCACCTCGTCTGGCTCACCCTTTCCTTTTAGATGATATTTTGAGAACTGATGAAGAATGTAACAAAGAAAATTTTATACTAGAAAATTGTCACTGATTATTATGTACATTCAATTGCTTTAATGTTATTTTTATTTTTAATTTTTTTATTATTATACTTTAAGTTCTAGGGTACATGTGCACAACGTGCAGGTTTGTTACGTATGTGTAAATGTGCCATGTTGGTGTGCTGCACCCGTTAACTGGTCATTTACATCAGGTATATCTCACAATGTTATCCCTCCTCTCTCCCCCAAACCCCCAACAGACCCCAGTGTGTGATGTTCCCCACCCTGTGTCCAAGTGTTCTCATTGTTCAATTCCCACCTATGAGTGAGAACATGCGGTGTTTGGTTTTTTGTCCTTGTGATAGTTTGCTGAGAACGATGGTTTCCAGCTTCATCCATGTCCCTTCAAAGGACATGAACTCATCCTTTTTTATGGCTGCATAGGATTCCATGGTGTATATGTGCCACATTTTCTTAATTCAGTCTATCACTGATGGACATTTGGATTGGTTCCAAGTCTTTGCTATTGTGAATAGTGGTGCAATAAACATGTGTGAGCATGTGTCTTTATAGCAGCATGATTTATAATACTTTGGGTATATACCCAGTAATGGGATTGCTGGGTCAAATGGTATTTCTAGTTCTAGATCCTTGAGGAATCACCACACTGTCTTCCACAATGGTTGAACTAGTTTACAGTCCCACCAATAGTGTAAAAGCATTCCTATTTCTCCACATCCTCTACAGCACCTGTTGTTTCCTGACTTTTTAATGATCACCATTCTAACTGGTGTGAGATGGTATCTCATTGTGGTTTTGATTTGCATTTCTCTCATGGCCAGTGATGATGAGCATTTTTTCATGTGTCTGTTGGCTGCATAAACGTCTTCTTTTGAGAAGTGTCTGTTCATATCCTTTGCCCACTTTTTGATGGGGTTGTTTGATTTTTTCTTGTAAATTTGTTCTTTGTAGATTCTGGATATTAGCCCTTTGTCAGATGGGTAGATTGTATAAATTTTCTCCCATTCTGTAGCTTGCCTGTTCACTCTGATGGTAGTTTATTTTGCTGTGCAGAAGCTCTTTAGTTTAATTAGATCCTATTTGTCAATTTTGTCTTTTGTTGCCATTGCTTTTGGTGTTTTAGTCATGAAGCCCTTGCCCATGCCTATGTCCTGAATGGTATTGCTTAGGTTTTCTTCTAGGGTTTTTATGGTTTTAGGTCTAACATTTAAGTCTTTAATCCATCTTGAATTAATTTTTGTATAAGGTGTAAGGAAGGGATCCAGTTTCAGCTTTCTACATATGGCTAGCCAGTTTTCCCAGCACCATTTATTAAATAGGGAATCCTTTCCCCATTTCTCGTTTTTGTCAGGTTTGTCAAAGATCAGATGGTTGTAGATGTGTGGTATTATTTCTGAGGGCTCTATTGTGTTCCATTGGTCTATATCTCTGTTTTGGTACCAGTACCATGCTGTTTTGGTTACTGTAGCCTTGCAGTATAGTTTGAAGTCAGGTAGCGTGATGCATCCAGCTTTGTTCTTTAGGCTTAGGATTGTCTTGGCAATGCGGGCTCTTTTTGGTTCCATATGAACTTTAAAGTAGTTTTTTCCAATTCTGTGAAGAAAGGCATTGGTAGCTTGATGGTGATGCCATTGAATCTATAAATTACCTTGGGTAGTATGGCCATTTTCACAATATTGATTCTTCCTATCCATGAGCATGAAATGTTCTTCAATTTGTTTGTGTCCTCTTTTATTTCGTTGAGCAGTGGTTTGTAGTTCTCCTTGAATAGGTCCTTAACATCTCTTGCAAGTTGGAATCCTAGGTATTTTACATCTGCAAACAGGGACAATTTGACTTCCTCTTTTCCTAATTGAATACCCTTTATTTCTTTCTCTTGCCTGATTGCCCTGGCCAGAACTTCCAACAATATGTTGAATAGGAGTGGTGAGAGAGGGCATAGCTGCCTTGTGCCAGTTTTCAAAGGGAATGCTTCAAGTTTTTGCGCATTCAGTATGATACTGGCTGTGGCTTTGTCATACATAGCTCTTATTATTTTGAGATACGTCCCATCAATACCTAGTTTATTGAGAGTTTTTAGCATGAAGGGCTGTTGAATTTTGTCAAAGGCCTTTTCTGCATCTATTGAGATAAACGTGTTTTTTGTCTTTAGTTCCGTTTATACGATGGATTATGTTTATTGATTTGTGTATGTTGAACCAGCCTTGCATCCCAGGGATGAAGCCAACTTGATCCTGGTGGATAAGCTTTTTGATGTGCTGCTGGATTCGGGTTCCCAGTATTTTATTGAGGATTTTTGCATCGATATTCATCAGAGATATTGGTCTAAAATTCTCTTTTTTTGTTGTGTCTGTGCCAGGCTTTGGTATCAGGATGATGTTGGCCTCAAAAAATGAATTAGGGAGGATTCCCTCTTTTTCTGTTGATTGGAATAGTTTCAGAAGGAATGGTACCAGATCCTCTTTGTACCTCTGGTAGAATTTGGCTGTGAATCCATCTGGTCCTGGACTTTTTTTGGTTGGTAGGCTATTAATTATTGCCTGAATTTCAGAACCTGTTATTGGTCTATTCAGGGATTCAACTTCTTCTTGGTTAAGTCTTGGGAGGGTATATGTGTCCAGGAGTTTATCCATTTCTGCTAGATATTCTAGTTTATTTGCGTGGAGATGTTTGTAGTATTCTCTGATCATAGTTTGCATTTCTGTGAGATCAATGATATCCCCATTATCATTTTTTATTGCATCTATTTGATTCTTCTCTCTTTTCTTCTTTATTAGCCTTGCTAGCAGTCTTGCTAGCAGTCTATCAATTTTGTTGATCTTTTCAAAAAGCCAGCTCCTGGATTCATTGATTTTTTGAAGGGTTTTTTGTGTCTCTATCACCTTCATTTCTGCTCTGATCTTGGTTATTTCTTGCCTTCTGCTAGCTTTTGAATGTGTTTGCTCGTGCTTTTCTAGTTCTTTTAATTGTGATGTTAGGGTGTCAATTTTAGATTTTTCCTGCTTTCTCTTGTGGGCACTTAGTACTATAAATTTCCCTGCACACACTGCTTTAAATGTGTCCCAGAGATTCTGGTATGTTGTGTCTTTGTTCTCATTGGTTTCAAATAACATCTTTATTTCTGCCTTCATTTTGTTATGTGCTCAGTAGTCATTCAGGAGCAGGTTGTTCAGTCTCCACGTAGTTGTTTAGTTTGGAGTGAGTTTCTTAATCCTGAGTTCTAGTTTGATTCTAATGAGGAGTGCTTTACTTCAAACTGTGTGATCAATTTTGGAATAAGTGTGATGTGGCACTGAGAAGAATGTGTATTCTTTTGATCTGGGGTGGAGAGTTCTGTAGATGTCTATTAGGTCTGCTTGGTGCAGAGCTGAGTTCAATTCCTGGATATCCTTGTTAACTTTCTGTCTCATTGATCTGTCTAATGTTGACAGTGGGGTGTTAAAATCTCCCATAATTATTGTGTGGGAGTCTAAGTCTCGTTGTATGTATCTAAGGACTTGTTTTATGAATCTGTGTGCTCCTGTATTGGGTGCATATATATTTAGGATAGTTAGCTCTTCTTGTTGAATTGATCCCTTTACCATTATTAATGGCCTTCTTTGTCTCTTTCAATCTTTTTTGGTTTAAAGTCAGTTTTATCAGAGACTAAGATTGCAACCCCTGCTTTTTTTTGTTTTCCATTTGCTTGGTAGATCTTCCTCCATCCCTTTATTTTGAGCCTATGTGTGTCTCTGCATGTGAGGTGGGTCTCCTGAATACAGCACACTGATGGGTCTTGACTCTTTATCCAATTTGCCAGTCTGTGTCTTTTAATTGGAGCACTTAGCCCATCTACATTTAAGGTTAATATTGTTATGTGTGAATTTGATTCTGTCATTATGATGTTAGCTGGTTATTTTGCTCATTAGTTGATGCAGTTTCTTCCTAGCATTGATGGTCTTTACAATTTGGCATATTTTTGCAGTGGCTGGTACTGGTTGTTCCTTTCCATGTTTAGCGCTTCCTTCAGGAGCTCTTGTAAGGCAGGCCTGGTGGTGACAAAGTCTCTCAGCATTTCTTTGTCTGTAAAGGATTTTATTTCTCCTTCACTTATGAAGCTTAGTTTGGCTGGATATGAAATTCTGGGTTGAAAATTCTTTTCTTTAGAATGTTGAATACTGGCCCCCACTCCCTTCTGGCTTGTAGAGTTTCTGTCGAGAGATCTGCTGTTAGTCTCATGGGCTTCCCTTTGTGGGTAACCCGACCTTTCTCTCTGGCTGCCCTTAACATTTTTTCCTTCATTTCAACTTTGGTGAATCTGACAATTATGTATCTTGGAGTTGCTCTTCTTGAGGAGTATCTTTGTAGCATTCTCTGTATTTCCTGAAGTTGAATGTTGGCCTGCCTCATTAGTTTGGGGAAGTTCTCCTGGATAATATCCAGAAGTGTTTTCCAACTTGGTTCCATTCTCCCTGTCATTTTCAGGTACACCAGTCAGACGTAGATTTGGTCTTTTCACATAGTCCCATATTTCTTGGAAGCTTTGTTCATTTCTGTTTACTCTTTTTTCCCTAAACTTCTCTTCTTGCTTCATTTCATTCATTTGATCTTCAATCACTGGTACCCTTTCTTCCACTTGATTGAATTGGCTACTGAAGCTTGCACATGCGTCACATAGTTCTCATGCCGTGGTTTTCAGCTTCATCAGGTCATTTAAGGACTTCTCTACACTGTTTATTCTAGTTAGCCATTCGTTTAATCTTTTTTCAAGGTTTTTAGCTTCTTTGCGATGAGTTCTAACATCCTCCTTTAGCTCAGAGAAGTTTGTTATTACCGATCCTCTGAAGCGTTCTTCTCTAAACTCATCAAAGTCATTCTCCATCCAGCTTTGTCCCATTGCTGGCAAGGAGCTGCGTTCCTTTGGAGGAGAAGAGGCGCTCTGATTTTTAGAATTTTCAGCTTTCCTGCTCTGGCTTCTTCCCATCTTTGTGGTTTTATCTACCTTTGGTCTTTGATGATGGTGACATACAGATAGGGTTTTGGTGTGGGTGTCCTTTCTGTTTGTTACTTTTCTTTCTAACAGTCAGGACCCTCAGGTGCTGGTCTGTTGGAGTTTGCTGGAGGTCCACTCCACAACCTGTTTGCCTGGGTATCACCAGCAGAGGCTGAAGAACAGCAAATATTGCAGAACAGCAGATGTTGCTGCCTGATCTTTCCTCTGGAAGTTTCGACTCAGAGGGGCACCCGGCTGTATGAGGTGTCAGTTGGCCCCTACTGGGAGGTGTCTCCTAGTTAGGCTACTCGGGGGTCAGAGACCCACTTAAGGAGGCAGTCTATCCATTCTCAGATCTCAAACTCCATGCTGGGAGAACCACTACTCTCTTCAAAGCTGTCAGACAGGGAAGTTTAAGTCTGCAGAAGTTTCTGCTGCCTTTTGTTCAACTATGCCCTGCCCCCAGAAGTGGAGTCTACAGAGGCAGGCAGGCCTCCTTGATCTGCAGTGGGCTCCACCCAGTTCAAGCTTCCTGGCCACTTTGTTTACCTACTCAAGCCTCAGCAGTGGCAGACGCCCCTCCCCCAGTCTCGCTGCCACCTTGCAGTTGGATCTCAGACTGCTGTGCTAGCAGTGAGTGAGGCTCTGTGGGCATGGGACCCTCCAAGCCATGCACGGGATATAATGTCCTGGTGTGCCATTTCCTAAGGCCATTGGAAAAGCGCTGTATTAGAGTGGGAGTGTCCCAGTTTTCCAGGTACCATCTGTCATGGCTTCCCTTTGCTAGGAAAGGGAATTCCTTGACCCCTTGTGCTTCCCAAATGAGGCAATGTCCCACCCTGCTCTGTGGGCTGCACCTACCGTCTGACAAGCCCCAGTGAGATGAAGCCGGTACTTCAGCTGGAAATGCAGAAATCACCCATCTTCTGCGTTGCTCACGCTGGGAGCTGCAGACTGGAGCTGTTCTTATTCGGCCATCTTGGAACCTCCTTCTGCTTTAATGTTATTATTGAAGAAGAGTACAGAAATAAAGATTCTCAAATTGTATTAAAAATTGCTTAGAATAATAAAGACCTAAGATCTAGATGTTTGGAAATTCCATTTCTGCCACCTTGCCCATTAAAAAAAAAGTAGTTCACCTTATTTTATTTTTGATTATTTTAACCTAAGTTAGATTGAGGAATCATACATACTATTAAATATATTAAATTTTCAGCCAAAATTTGATTCACTTTCCAGTTTTACTTTTTGTTACCTCCAACCTGTCTGTGCCTGAATTTCCTTGCTGGATTTAAACTCTGCACAGCTGATTTCAATGAACTCTTAGTAAGTTCAAAGAAGAGCGTCTATAAAAATGCTGTAAAGCAGCTGGGCGCAGTGGCTGATGCCTGTAATCCCAGAACTTTTGGGAGGTCGAGGCGGGTGGATTATCTGAGGTCCAGAGCTTGAGACCAGCCTGGCCAACATGGTGAAACCTGTTTTTACTAAAAATACAAAAATTAGCCAGGTGTGGGGCAGGTGCCTGTAATCCCAGCTACTCAGGAGGCTGAGGCAGGAGAGTCACTTGAACCCTGGAGGCAGAGGTTATAGTGAGCCGAAATTGTGCCACTGCACTCCAGCCTTGGTGACAGAGTGAGACTCCATTTAAAAAAAAATGCTGTAAAGCAGTTATTACTTTAAAACAATATGTAGAGGAGAACTTTGTGAATAAATAACAATAATTTAATAGCTGTGACCACTATTTTACATAAATTAAGTTTAGCATAGGCGAAAGTTGTAATTTTTTCAGTGAACTTTCTTTTTTTTGCAAAAAATTAGAGGAATATAAATCACTACAGTTGCCATTCCTCATCACATGTATATCACCAGTTTTCTTCTGTGATTTCAAAAGATGGATTAAATAACTGATCTGGGTGTTTTACAATGTATCAATGTGCTCTTATACATTAAAACATGAACAATCATTCTTTATTTTCTCTTTGGTTTTCACCATGGTTACACTAATGTAAGAAACAACATAATAGCCCTTAGACTACTATGGTACATAACATAGTAACAAACTCACATTTGTTTGAGAGACTGAAACCCTCTGCACATTTAATACTTTGTCATTATCTTTAGATACCACTTCAGGTTTTAATTAAATATAATTATGTTCCAGACGATGTGGGAAGAGTTATCCCCAGGAGCTGATAGCGTCTCTGTTCTAGGATGACTGATATAAAAAAACAGGAATTTTCTGTATTTATAATAATGATATTGTCGCCCAAGTGTAGTGGCTCACGCCTGTAATCCCAGCACTTTGGGAGGCCGAGGTGGGAGGATCACCTGAGGCCAGGAGTTTGAGACCAGCCTGACCAACATGGTGAAACCCCATCTTAACTAAAAATACAAAAAAAAATTAGTCAGGCATGGTGGTGGGCACCTGTAATCCCAGCTACTTGGGAGGTTGAGGCAGGAGAATCACTTGAACCTGGGAGGAGGAGGTTGTAGTGAGCCAAGATCCCGCCATTGCACTTCAGCCTGGGCGACAAGAGCGAGACTCCATTTCGAATAATAATAATAATAATAATAATAATAATGATATTGTTTTATGCAATTATTTATAATTGTATTTACTTATGTAATTACTATATAATTATTACTTATGTAATTACTTATTTCCTTTCTTCTTAACCTCTATTCCTCATTGCATATTCCAAGTGTATATTCTGCAAATGTGCCCAAGCCTCTACAGTAAGTCTATGACTTGAATTCAGTTCAGTTTTTATCAATTGAACAAGTATATGTTATCATGACTGGCCGGGACACATAGTTATACGAATAAAATTGTATGAGAGGCCAAAAGATCCCCCAGTTTCTAGAATTTACTGTTTAGTTGAATTAAATTTTCTAGTACTTGTTGTTCTGAAATATCACTTTAATTTGAGAAAACATCTGCACAGTCCTTTGGGGAAGTCAACTTAGATTAAATGCCTTAAACAACAAAACTAGTATCGGTGATTTAAAAATAAATGATTTGTGCTACCTTTTCCCAGTTCGAAGGAAGTGTAACCTATTGAAGAGTCTAGGATCCAATGTCAGGTACAAGTAGATTAAAATTCCAGTCTGACCACATAGGAGCTTTGTATCTTTTCACAAATTATTCAGGCTTTCAAAGCCTCAATTTTCTCATCTGTGAAATGGTAGTACTAAACAATTCTTACCATAAAACTCTGTTGAAGCAATTAGAGTTTATATCTATGTGTGGTTGCAAACCAATAAATATTATCTGTTCCTGTTCTTATGAACAATATGAGTGACAGTAGAGGGCAAATCCCAGATATACAATTTCAATATCGTTGATTTGTGAGTAACTGTCTTGTGAAGGAAACCCCCTGAAGAGTATAAAACTCTCTGTTTTGGCTCTGAAGGGAAGGAATACCCTCTTCCCAGGTTCTTCTGGTCTATAGATGCTTTTTACCAGGTGTAAAGTAACAGCCCAAAAGGTTTCAAATACTTTCAGAAGAGTGAGTAGTGCCCAGAGAGCTGATGAGGCAGGTCCAGTGGCATCTCTGAGCTGTCAGCCTCATGCCCATACTCTGCCAGTTGCCTGCTCCCTTTCTATGTTTCTGTAGCATATGCTGTAAATGCTTTGTGAGACTCTTGGGGCATAAAGTTTGCACTGATGGAAGCCTGGGTCAGACCAAACTAACTAATGAGTACTGTCAAAATTCCAGTTGTTATCTGAAATTCAATATTGACTTCCTTGTCAATGTTTTAAGGATACCTAAGAGCTTAAGAGACTTAGCTGTGCCTGTATCATGCTGTCTTTGTCTAAGAAAGTGCAGAAGAAGTTTTACTGAAGTATTTGTTCTGGTGCATATGATGAAACAAATTCTGGAATCAATATTAAAAAACACTGTATAGCTTGTAGAATTAGGTATAGCAAGTCTTGCATAAAACTGAAAAACAACCAAAAATTAAAAATAAAATTGGAGTTGGGGGGAATATATAGCAACCCTTTTGAGCCACATATACATCACTATATTACATCACAAAAATAACTGTTACTTCACTATTTTAGAAGCTCAGTCATTATTACACTATTTTTCCAAACCATCCATTGTAAAACTCAGAGCAAAGCTATCTGAGGAAGATTGTAAGCTCTTTTTTTTCAATCACAGTCTCTATAAACTAATGTACTGTACTCAAAACATAAATTGAAACAAGGAGGTAAAAGGGAAATGAACAATCAGTGTTTTCCAAATTGCTTCTTTGGTAAGAAATTGAAAAATACATTCATATGAATGTATTTAAAAAACAAAACAAAACAAAAAGGTGGAATGAATTGAAGAGGCAGAGCAGATCATAAAATAAAACTGGAAGTTTAATAATCTGCTACTTTTCCTTTAGACATAGAAAATGTACTTTATGAATACCTAAAAACATTATGATAATAGATTATTGCTGTTACGTATTATTCATACGACAATGGATTTATGTAATGTGTCTACATCAAGTAAAAGAGATTAACCAGAAGAAACTAACTTCAAAGTACATTGTCTTTTAGGTCTCCAAAGTAATAAAGATCCAAGCACTTCCCTTTTAGGGTATTTGCTCTGCATCATTTAGAATGCAGTTTCTTTCCTTCATTAGGCCCTCCATATGAGATAGAGCAAATCAGAGGCTACAGAAATAGAGATTTCTTCCTTGTACTGATAGTCTCAGATGTTTGGGGCTGCTAACCCACTAGTGGTTTTGTAAGCCTTATTCTACGTGATCCACCCATTTCTCAACAGCCGTGCAAAAGATTTTCCACCTTTGTTACAGTTTGACTACTATTTCCAAATAAACAACAATACAGTCAGACTTTGTAAAAGTGGATGTTTCATATAGAAATTTGGCCACGCTTCCTAAAATATAAGCAATTCTTACGTGTGAGTATCAGTTCATACTAAAAAGCTCTCCTGTGTACTCTAGTTCAACATAGCTCTGGTTGGAACGTGTAACTGTACTCGATAATTAGTTTTGTTAATAATGTCATGAAAACATTGTACAAATTTCAAGATGATAGATTTTTAAAATTTTGTCATTTTTAATTACTATGTTCAATTTTCCATGAAGCAACACTGAAATAAATAGCAAAACAAAACCAGTAACATGAAACATTTCCATAATTTGTGAAATGGAAATAGGAATGATATACACCTTGATTTTACTATGATGCAACTCAATGTGAAATACACGAAACCCTATGAGGACAAGTACCAAGGTGACTTACGCCAAAGAAAATTGATTGAAGTATTTCTATTTTGATCAAATTTGTTGTGTAAAGTTGTGCCACTGCAAAACTCTGGGAGTAAATCATAAAATGTATATTTTTATATTGAAGGTTGATGGGTAGAGCACTTTCAGAACAATTTCCTGTTGAGTGAGCAGTAGGAAGTTATAAGGTCCTCAACAGGAACAGATTGATCCATGCATAGACAGATCAAAGAAATATGTTTATTAAGTACTTCGTGTTCATCACAAAGTTCAATCTAGCAGAGATTTTCTGTTATATTGTCCATGTGGTGACTCCTTCACAAGCTTTAAAGTAATTATATTATTTTATTTTATCTTATTTTAAACTGACAGATATAATTGTATGTATTTACCATGCACAGTACAAGATGATGTTCTAAATATATATACATGGTGGAATGACTACATCCAGCTGGGTAACATATGGATAACTTCACATAATTATTCTTTTTCTGGTGAAAACACCTTATATCCATCCTCAACATTTTTCAAGAATGCAATATATTGTTAACTATAGCTACCACGTTGTACAATAGACCCCTTGGGCTTATTCATCCCATCTAACTGAAATTTTGTATCCTTTGATCAGTATCTCCCCAGTCTCCACAGTACCCCAACCATCCCTCGCCTGTAAACACAGCTTTTGCTCATTACTTCTATGACAGCAACTTCTTTACATTCTACATATGAGTGAGATAATGCAGTGATTGTCTTTCTATGTCTGGCTTATTTCATTTAACATAATTTCCTCCAGGTTCAGGTATATTATTGAAAATGACAGGATTTCATTATTTTTAATGTTCAAATTGTATTCCATTGTGTATATACATCACATTTTCTTTATCCAGTCATCTATTGATGGACACATAGATTGATTCCATATCTTGGCTATAGTGAATAATACTGCAATAAATATAAAAGTACAAATATCTTTTCAACATACTGATTTTATTTCCTTTGACTATATACTCAGTAGTGACATTGCTGAATCATATGGTAGTTCTTTTTTTAATTTTCTGAGTAACCTCCATACTGTTTCCCTCAATGGCTGAGCTAATTTACATTCCCAACAGCGTTTGAGAGTTTCCTTTTTGCCACATCCTTGCCAAGACTTATTATCTTTTGTCTTTCTGATGATAGCTATTCTAAGTAATAATGTAAATTAAACAATGATGGTAAAATAAAATTTGTAGATGACTGTTCTCAAAATATTTCCTCCATTTTTAAAAAAGGCTGAATAGTATTCCATTGCGCATATATATATATACATATATATATATATACATATATATATATATACATATATATATATATATATATATATATATATATATATATATATATATCACGTTTTCTTTGTCCATTCATCAGTGATGGACACTTACATTGCATTCGATATTTTGGCTATTGCAAATAACGCTTCAATGAACACACAGATTAGCCTAGAGAACATTATGCTAAGGGAAATAATCCAGGCACAGGAAGACAAAAACCACATGATCTCATTTATATATAAAATGTAAAAAAAAAATTGAATTCATAAAGCAGAGAGTAGAATGGTGGTTACTATGTATTGGGTGGGTGGCACCAAATGGAGGAATATTGATTAAAGGGTACAAGGTTTGAGTTAGTACAGGAAGAATAAGTACGAGTACTATATTCACATACTCACAATGTATTGTACAGTATGATGACCAGAGTTAATAATAATGTATTGCATAGTTGAAAACTGCTAAGAGAATGATATGGTTAGGCTTAGTGTCCCCACCCAAATCTCATCTTGAATTGTAATCCCCGGATGTTGAGGAAGAAACCTGGTGGGAAGTGACTGGATTATGGGGGTGGTTTCCTCCATGCAGTTCTCATGATAGTGGATGAATTCTCATGAAATGTGATGGTTTTACAAATGGTAGATTTTTCCTGCACTCTCACACACTTCTCCTTCCTGCCACCTTGTGATGAAGGTGCCTTGCTTCCTCTTCGCCTTCAGCCATGACTGTAAGTTTCCTGAGGCCTCTTCAGCCATGCTCAATAGAGTATCAATTAAACTTCTTTCCTTTATAAATTACCCTGTATTGGGCAGTTTTTTCTTTATAGCAGTGTGAAAACGGACTAATAAGAGAGTAAATCTTAAATATTCTCATTACAAAAAATAATAAAGATTAGTGGTGATATATATATGGTAATAAGCATTATTGACTCATTCCACATTGTCTAAAATAATTTTTCATTCATCAATTCAAAAAATGTAGTAGATTTCTACCTAAAGTTGGGCCACTATCAACAATACTATTTAAT
This sequence comes from Homo sapiens, assembly GCF_000001405.40. NCBI lineage: Eukaryota > Metazoa > Chordata > Mammalia > Primates > Hominidae > Homo > Homo sapiens. The sequence goes on along the minus strand of NC_000007.14, from coordinate 146,150,683 downwards.
GTTCTATTGAGAGTATTAATAAAAGGAATTATAGAATCAAAATCAGAAATATAAGAATTAGAGGAGTTAAATTGCCCCTATGTAGGTGATATAGTAGTAGATCTAAAGATTAAAATAAAAGAAATAAAAAATCTACAAAGATATAAAATTAATATAAAAAATCTGTAACCTTTATATATAAAAATAATGTTAGGCAATATATTCTGGCTCTCTGTAAACAGTTATTAAAAACATATTTTTACAAGTCCTGTTGTAAACATGTTTTTATTTCTACAGAGTAAATACTTAGAAGTGAAACTGATGTGTCATAGGGTGACTATATGCTCAACTTTGTCAGTTATTACCCAAGAGATTCTCAAAGTTACATGATTTTTCATTCCAACCAGCAGAGTATGTGAGTTTAGTTACTTCACCTCTTCACCAACAATTGGTATTGTTAATCTTTTGTAATTTTAGCAATTCTAGTGAGTGTGCAATAGTATTTGATTTTGCTTTTAATTTACATTTAGCTAATAACTTATTACATTAAATGTTTTGTGCTTATCAGACATTTATCTTTGTAAACAGTGCAAATCTTTCCCCCATTTTTACTGTGTTGTCTGTTTACAATTGATTCGTATGACATCTTTATATATGCTGGGTACAACTGCTTTGTCAAAGATATATAGTGTGAATATTTTCTCCCATAGCTTAGCTTTTTCATTCTCTTAGTGTTTTTGTTTGTTTGTTTAATTCTGAAGAGCACAGGTTTTCCTTGTTTTGTTTTTCATGAAGCCTGACTGGTCTTTTTTTTTTTTTTTTTTTCTTTGTGGCTAATGCTGTTTGTGTGTTTCTATGAAATCTTTGCCTAGCTCAGGTCCAGGAAATATTCTTCTATATTTTCTTCTAGAAACTTTTGAGCTTAAGATTTTATATTTAGGTCTATGTGCCATCTATAATTACTTTTGTGTGTATGGTATGAAGTATCAAGATTTATTTTTTTCCTATATGGATACCAAGTTTTCTAGGTCTGGTGGTTAAAACAATTTTCCTTTCTCCATTACATCACTTTGGTGCCTTTTTGGAAGATCAATTGGCCATATCTGCGTGGATCTAGTTCTGGACTCCGTTCTGTTCTTTTAGTCTATTTGTTTATCCTCTCACTATCCTAAATAATGTCATTTAAAAGTAAGCCTAACACTGTGCTGCTGTCACTGTCCACCCAAATTTGATGGGCAAATTTAGGTAGAAAATGATTCTTTCTGTGAACTTTCAAGCTTCTGATACAAGCTGCAATATTCATGGATTAATTTACATGACAGCATAGGATAATGAATGAGAAAAAGCCCTTGGAAACAAACAAATATGAATTTGAATCCTATCATACAGGAAATCTTTTTATGTTTTTAAAAGTGTCATTTTCTTCACCTAACAAAGTAGGGATCATATTGTCAATCTTATAACTGTTTTGAGATATTTATTAAGATACCATATTTTTTTTTGTGGTCCAAATTTTTTATTATTATTATACTTTAAGATCTAGGGTACATGTGCACAACATGCAGGTTTGTTACATATGTATACATGTGCCATGTTGGTGTGCTGCACCCATTAACTCGTCATTTACATTAGGTGTATCTCCTAATGCCTTCCCTCCCCCATCCCCCCACCCCACAACAGGCCCCGGTGTGTGATGTTCCCCTTCCTGTGTCCAAGTGTTCTCATTGTTCAATTCCCCCAGTGGAGTCTTTGACATATATGGAGTAAACATAACATACCTAGCAATATAACACTATACTCATAGGCAGAGAGGGTGAAGATTATTTGTAGAAAACATGGACACAATTTTGAGTGCCTGCTCTATTACTTCTTCCTTTTTTTGTTCTGATTAGCGATGTCTTTCCTTAGATTATGTTATCAATGATTTTAATGTATCATGTTCTCCTGTGTATAATAGAATGCTATATTCTTATACATTACTATTTTGTGATTATAGCCTTTGTAATATAATAATTATCCACGTTCATCATTTTCTCATCATGTTGACAAATGATAAAAAACTTTATTATTCATGTGCATACCTTTTCAAGGTTTTCTCTTACTTCTGAATTTCCCAGCATAAAAAATAAATCAGGCGTGCACGTCTTTATCAGTAGGAAACAGAGCAATGTTACTTAGAGCATTTTCCCAATAGGTTTACTCTTTCATTACTATGTAATTAACCCCACATTGAGAATTCTATTGTGAATTCTTTTGCAGCAGCAAATTAAACATTTGAATTGCATACTATTATGTTTCTGTGAAAGTGACTATCGTGTCATTTTGAAACAGACGAGCAATGTTATGAGTAATGAAGAGTTTTCAGTAAAGTTTTCAATGATGCTAGACGACTTGCTCTAAGAGAAAATACTCTATATATTTCAAAGACCCCACCATAATTTCTGGCACAAAATCCATCAAAATCTAATAAAGTAGCTTAATTAGCATGATCATCGTCTTATTAATAATTTACTGGTTGGCAAAGGCTCTAATGGGATTATAATGCATCATTTTAAAAATAAAAGAACATCATTGTGATGCTCATCAAGGTGAGCACTATAGAAGTAAAATCTGCACTAAACAAATTTGGTATCTTTAAAATATAACTAGATAACCTGCCATTTCCTGATAAAGCACAGTCCTATAAGAGAGCATATTTTCTTTCTAGGAATTCTGCAATTCATATCTAAAAATGATTTCAAGGTAACCATTCTGACACTTTGAAAAATATATATATTGGTTCCTGATCAACAGGGCATATTTAAAATTTTTCCGTAAAATGGCCTGGTTTAGCAAATCAACAATAAATTAGCAGAAATCACTATCAATATTTAACATTAAAATCCTTGTCCACAGAAAATGAAATTTCCTAATGGACCTTAGAATATTTGTAATGTTCACTGTATATTCATAATGCATTTTGTAGACAGACAGTATAAAGAAGTCAACGTAACAGGATAGAGCAGATGTCTATTCTAAATCCTCCTTAGAGTCACTGAGAGTCTAGAGTGACAGGTGAATCTTTGATTCTAGCTGGCTAAAGGGATTGATAACAGAATACAGAGCCTGCAGTTCCTAGGTCACTAATTGAAATTTGATCCTGGTATATGCCTAGGGAAAAATAGAAGTGGGTAGGCTTCCTACTTTAATCATCTGCATTACGAAAGCCATTATTTTATGGATATGAGTGTCCTTCACATTCTAATATAATGCTGCTACAGCATGAAAAGACAGGAAAAACCCAGCCATCCACCTATAATGGCCTTTCACAAGACATGTATTTTAAATCTTGTTTGTTACTATGAATCTCCTCCAAACTGTCTGTAGTGCAGCGTGGCTCCAATTGGGCTGCACTGCCTACTAATTGATAGTCTTCTTACTTTATGAACTAAAAACAAGAGAGAGTGTGCTTCCTTCCCAATTAAACATAATTCAATCCCTAGAGACAATGCCACATTGCCGATCCAGTGCTTAACAACAGTATTTTAAAGAGAAAGAAGAATGATCAAATTCAAGCAAAGAAGAATTCCTGGCAATTGAATCACTGGGGCTTCAGCGGTATTTTGATGATAAAGAGAAGTGGTCACTTCCGGGTTATCATCTGTCTTAAATTAAAGTCTGTATTCAATGTTTACACAGCTTCTTTCTTTTAAAGACAGTTATTGTTTAGGAAAAAAACTAAAGTACTTGAAGCCCAACTAAGTGAACTGTGTGTTTGTTTGACAGAAAGACTTCGCACCATTAGTGAATCATTCACTAACGCAGCTGCCTGTCCTATAAAAAGAAATATAGACTATGCAATGTTGTTTTCTGAAAAAAGAACTCTACAGTGCATATAACAAGATCTGGATTAGACTTTACTACTTAGAAACTACTTAGGAAGAAATGTTTTCTTCCTCAGGAAAAGTTCATATATTGTTTAGCTATTAATAAATGTTTAAGGCATTTGCCCCCGAAATTTGATGAACCATTTTTATTAATAGAATCTTTCAAAACTTTCTAGCTCACTACTTTATAAATATTATGTCAAGTTAATTATTCAATGTCTTAGCCTGGTGGTCTTGGTGGTTTCTCAAAGACAAACGCATATGCTAAAATGCAGAGCCATCCATTAAAGAGAACAAATCCCTTTGCAATAAATAACTTCAAGGCAAATAATGTGGCAAATCTTGACAAGAATAAAGTATATCAATAATGATTAGGCCTACATTATTGAATTAATAGAATAGGTCAGAGGAAGATCAAAACCAAATTCAGTTATGTGTGTGTTTATCTCCTCCAATAAATGGCGAACTTCCTATGGCTGGGGACATAAATATTCTATGGCCTTAGTTTATCCCACTATATAATATTCAGCCCTTAATGAATGGTTACTGAATGTCTTGAAATATAATATTGAAATATCTTTAATTAGATGTGATGTTTGCATAATAAAAATCATCTGAACATTTAGTCCAAGTGTAAAAAATATTTTCAATTATTTAAAATCCACGATATTAAGTTCCTTTTAAAAAATAAATTACTACAGAGATCTTAAAATGATATGTTATACATTTCTTTCAACTGATTGGGGTTTAGTTGTACTCATCATTAATCTGCTGATATCTGAGCTGAACAATATTCTTAAAACAAAATATATCATTTAAAGGTTAGTGGTTTAAATTTTTATTGTATTTCTATTTTGTTTGGCAACTATTTAATAACAAATTGTATTACTGTAATTATATAATAAGTATGAAATTCTGTCCTAGATATTGAAAGTGCAATGCAGCAGACACAAACTCATGGCTGCTTCTGAAGGTGAAAGTCTGCTTCCTTTGTCCCATTTGGATGGCTGGATTTAGGTACAGCTGTCTTCAAAAGCTGATATACTAAAACACAATTTTTCTAGAGACGCGAGGTACAAATACATTGAATTTTAGAAGTAGAAATCAGTGTGGGAGTTTCTCCTCTGGGATTTTTTTCCTAGTCCATTCCTAGAAATAGAACTATATTGCTGTGGGACCATGGTCAGTAATAGGGGACAATTGGACAAGGAGAGCTGCTTACCATGCAGAAGGAAACAATTCTTATTTCTCCATGTACCTCCACTGGGAAACCGGCACACAGGCAATTTTTCTCACTCTATTCAATCCACATCAAGGACACAAAAAGACTTTGGTACTTTTCTAAATAATACCTTTCCCGAATGTCTTGCTGCAAAGATTTCTAATTGCCTGCCCAGTATCTACTCTTTTCCTTCCTTACTAATAGCACCCCAGTTTGGTTTGGGATAGTAATGTGCCCAGCTAAAATGTAGTATGTTCTCGTCTAATTTGGAAGTAAGAGAGGCCAGGTGCCATCATTCTAGCTAAAGCTGTTTAAAGAGAAGTCACTGAGTGAGGCTTTCAGGAAGGCTTCAAATGTGACTCAGCTGGTCACGCTTTCGGCCCTTGAATCTTCATTCTTTCTCTTTCTCTGATCATGGACACGGGGGATAGAGCTGTTGTCGCTTTCTTTCAATCACGAAAAATGGCCTAAAGCATCTCAGAAAAAGATGAGTTTCTGAATGTCAGGATCACATTTTGTATATTTATTTTGCAGAGTCACTGTCTGGGGGCTTTCTGTTGTATCTGACCAGTCCAAATTCCAACGTTTGGACAAAATTCATCAAATCCATCAACTGAGTTACATCTCTCCCACCATGAGCTACTGCCAACCCTGAAGTTTTGAAAAGTCATCTGGGACTTTCTTCCTGACATTTCCTTCCATTATACCTAAGCCCTTCCATTCACTGTTTCATTCTTTGTGTCACACCTTATTTTGTTTTATCATCCATTTAGCTGCAGTTATAAAGTCAAAAGCTGTTAATAGAAAAGTTGATGAAAGAAAAAATTAGTTGTACAAAAAAGTGGGATTTAGAGAGGCAGGAAGAAACAACACAACAAATAATAATGAGATAAATACACTTTCTTCATTATGTTTCTTTTATACCAAATTAACATGAGAGTATGAGTCGAAGTTCTAGAATGACATAGTCTCAGCCCTGAAATGTCAATGAATAACAATGGCTATAACAACAGCCCATTCAGCAATAGCAAAGTAAGCTAGAGTTTTACACATACACTCATCCACTAACTCAAAAGAGTAATTTTAGCCTGGGAACAGGAAGGAATGAAATTTTTTGTTGTTGTTGTTTGTTTTCTATTTTTTGTTTTTTAAATTTATTAAAAGTCTCAGGGTGCAGTAGCTCACATCTATAATCCTAGCACTTTTGGAGGCTGAAGCAGGCAGAAGGCTTGAGCTCAGGAGTTCAAGAGCAGCCTGGGCAATGTGGTGAAAGCCCCTCTCTAACCAAAATATGAAAATTAGCCAGGCACGCTGGTGCGCACCTGTGGTTCCAGCTACTTGAGGGGCTGAGGCGAGAGGATCACTTAAGCCTGGCAGGCAGAGCTTGCAGTGAGCTGAGATCACACTACTGCACTCCAGCTGGGGCAACAAAGCCAGGCCCCATCTCAAAATAAATAAATAAATAAATAAATAAATATTTTAGGAAGTCACAAAAAGCTTGTGTGTGGGGAAAGTGTGACACAAAGTGTAATTTTGCTTATTGAAAGTAAATTAGGGCTGGGCATGGTGGCTCACACCTGTAATCCTAGCATATCGGGAGGCCGAGGTGGGAGGATCACCTGAAGTCAGGAGTTCAAGACCAGCCTGGCCAACATGGTGAAACCCATATCTACTAAAAATACAAAAATTAGCCTGGGATGGTGGCACATGCCTGTAGTCCCAGCTACATGGGAGACTGAAGCAGGAAAATCGCTTGAACCCAGGAGGCAGAGGTTGCAGTGAGCCAAGACTGTGCCACTGTACTCCAGCCTGGGTGACAGAAGGAGACTCCATTTCAAAAAAAAAAATAAATTAGAATTTAGATCTATGATACTCTAAAGTAAGAAGACTGTAAACTTATTGTAGAAATGTTCGTATTCATTACACAGATTATTTCAGGAAACACAATACCATTAACTAATCTATTTAGGAGAGTAGATATTTGAAAACATTCTAATATGAAACATAGTATTTCAATACCACAGGAGGGAAAAGCTATAATGCAAGTCATTCTGAAAAGAATTTCAACATTTTATACTTCTGGAGGTTATGTCATTTAAATAAAAATAAGTTTATAGGAGTGACAATCAGAAGACTGGACATAATTTTCTGGAGACTCAAATGAGACAGCGTAATTTAAATGTGACAAGGTTTTAGAAATGAGGTTTTTGTCCTTATTCATGGAAAACTAAAATTTTAATAACTTAACATCTAATTTTAGGCATATCATTAACAAAGTCCAATCCATTATTTCTGTTTGCTCACTTGCGACTTCAGAAGAAGGTGAGTTTCAGTTCTTTATTTTCAAAGACTTTTAAACTGGCATAATAAAAAGAAAATAAAATGTGAAGAAAAATGTCTTGAGTTTTCAATTTGGAAGGAAATTTGAAAAGTCAAACAGCAATGAAGTCATTCTTTAGGAGGTGCAGAGAGGGCCACAACATAGAGCCACACAGAGTGATTCCAAGACCACCATTGACACAGATAACAATGGCAGCCTAGCAATCCATCATCCTGTAACTTCATGGCTCTGGATTTGGAAAATCATTTGAGAGGCTTGATTTTATTTATTCCCTAAAAGGAAAAATACCAAAAAGGCAGAGTTCTTAAGAAACTAACTATGTACTTCAGTCATACTAACTACTGGATGCCTTTCTAGACATTGGACTTCTTTTTAAAAGTCATTTTCTTACATTGAAACATTTCTAAAATGGGCTATAAATACATATTTCAAATTTTACAATATGATAAATGTAAACACTTTCCTTCCTGTCTCTCAATTTGGGAATAATCAAAATTTGGCAGTCATAGTAGGATGGCTCTCTCTTACCATAAACCAAAAGATGTATTATTTTACACAGAATTAGAAGAGAACCCAATTAGGGTAATACGAAGTGAAAGTTTACATAGATCGTAATCATGTAATCTATTTCTAAGGTTTGTTTTCTGCTCATAAGTGGTAGAGTGAATCACCCTTGAATTTTAAAAACAGGGAAATTAGATTGGCTATCAATAGATTTTTCTATCTTTAATTCCTCCCTCTCAACTGTTTCCTTCTTGTTAGAAAGCTTCTTTCATTCCTGTATAACTGCTCTTTCATGAAAACTTGGGTGTTCTTTATTTTTCTCTTTTCTTTCATAGACACATTTGTGTTAGGGATCATCATGCCTGTGTATAAAGTTTGTACCTTGCACAAAGATGCCTCACTGAAGGGGCAAGTGTCTGTCTGAAATTTAGTCCACATGCTGTCCACGAAGTTGTGAAAGACAGTGTCTCCCCAGAGGAAAAGAATGAGGGGAGTGAAGAAAGAAGCCCTCTCTTCACTAACCCCTGAACTTTGGGGCTACATCTGTTCAGGATATGGAAGGGCAACTTTTTCTAATTCATGCAGACCTCTTATCATCTAGCAGCAGGCCTGCTCTTATTAAGAGTTTCTATTCACATTGCAAATATTTCTAATATATTCAATGGAGTGCTTATTGTGAAAGTTAATTGCAATATGGTGAGATGTGGGTTAATAACAAGGAAATACAAAGCAAACTCAGTATGGGCAAAGTTAAGAAAAAACAGCAGAAGTCATAGCAGCTGTCAGTATCTCTGAAATACCAACAAGCAAATCAATACTGAGCCCTCTTTGAGATCATCTTTCCTGGTGGACTATAATATTAAATATTAGTAACCTAAAGGCTATGAGTCTTTAATAATGCTTACTAAATTTATTTTGTAAATTTACCTTGAGTTGCACAATATTTGAATTTTACATTTTTCTTATATGGAATGATGCGTGTCTTACAGGAATTTTCAAGTTGCAACTTTAGTGAAAATGTAATAATGCCTAATGAATTATAAAATAAAAGGAAATCAGATTTTTAACTTCATCAATAGAACTCAATAACATTATTTTTAATGCTTGAAAAGAAAACCACCTAAAGTAGGAAAAAATAAGGTTGAGTTTTCTTGAAAGGTACAATCTTACAATTAATAAATAATTCACAAGTGAATCTAAAACTTTTAATTATGTAATTGTTATTTAAATATAGAACACTTATATACAAATGTTAAAGAAAATGAAAACTATATTTCTTATAGTGTTTCACCATCAACCTAGCTTGCTTCTTGACAACCAAGTAACAAATGGCTACCAGAACAATCTGTCCCTCAGCCTGAAGTAAATCCATAAAAAATACAGTCTATCTACACACAAAATTTAAACATTGTTTCAATGCAATAAAAGGATAGTGATCTACACGAATAATATATTGATATGTAAACATTCAAGCACCACCACATTAGAAGACATAATCAAGTAGTCAGATGTTTTACTCACACCTAGAATCACCTTCAATATAACAACGACAAATGTAGGCTGACACACAGGTGCCCTTTGTGCCACTTAGACACCATGAGCAGCATTGGTATCTGTGACTTTCTGAAATGGTGAAAACAGTTGTGACCTGAGCAAAGTACGTTTCCTCCACTGACACTGTAGTTATATTTAGAAAATTAGTGCACATTAAAACTATGCAATATACTTTGTATCTACATACAAATTTGAGTTTGTTTCCAGATTCAGAAATTTGTAAAGAGATTTTGCAATTGCACAAACCTACAGTCACTGGGTGGTGGGAAATTCTTTGTAGGGTAGGCCAGACGTGCAGATTGCAAGATGTTCTAGTGGTTCCGATTTTCGCCCTCTAAATGTCAACAGCCACCACCCCCTTCATAATAATCCAGAAAATCACCACAGTAAATTTCCAAAATATTCCCTTTGTTTCCGCTATGAAAATCTCTTCCTTAGAGGGAAGAGAAAAATCACTGATTCTTTTTCTTTCTTCGCATGGTTGTTTGTGATGTAGAGAGTAAATTGCATGATGGGATTTAAGTGAAGATCCATTATCAACAAAATATCGTTTGTCCCTATCAAGAACTGAAATCCAAGCATTTATTAACTACCCAAAAGAAATAATGAGAGATGCTGTCAGTCCTTCAGATTTTTCAACCTCAAGCCGAACACTTGAAGTACAAATATTTTAATGGCTAAGAATGAGAATTAATATATGAGAATATATTTTAAATGCTCTGTCTTAGTATCTACCTAATTATTTCATTCACCATAGATCTTCATGGTATGGTTCTGAGACTTTACTTGCCACAGACATTAGATGCCTCAGGACAGACACGTGTGGCAAAAGTGTGATGAGGGAGCATGGCAGAGGATGGCATCAGTGTGCATGAATAGGAGATGGACAGATGAAACTTGAGACATTGAACAGGAAGAAGACTCTGCCATCAACCCTGGGACTGTGCAAGAACCCTACTACTTCTTTATCTACTCTTGAAAACACAGGATGATATCTCATTTTCTCTTTTATAAGTCGTCTGCTGTAGTGAATTGTTGAATGGAATTTTTGGAAATGGAGCTTTCTTCAGCAATAGAAAAGGAAAAATCCATTGAGTCATAGTCTGATACAAAGAAGCCAGTCAAGCAAATGAAAGGGTGGGAGGGACACAGGTATGAAAGTGTTACATTTGATCAAGTCAGACTCCTGTAGCTGCAAAGATATTCCAACAGAGGGCTTTGACTGGACGCTGGAGCTAATGGAAATGCTAGATACCTAAAACTGCTTATGAATTACATGTTAATTTCATACAAAGATAATGCAAAGATGACTGACATTTGTTAAATACCCCCCAAATTGTGCTATTCACTGTGCTATGTACTTTCTATGAACTCAAGCATGTATTATTGCCCCAATTATTTTACAAATGAGAAAACTGATGTTTATGGACCTTAAAAACACTTCTATTTCCACAAACTTCTTAAATAGGGTCCCTTAGTTGAATTTAGGTCTGTCTTATACAAAGACATATTACATTTGTGCAACAAATTAATATTTTTTAAAATAACTGACTGAATGAAGGAATGAGCACACTGAGAAAAAAAAAGAATGATAACTCAACAGCCACAAACAGAAATCTTGAAGCAAATTAATCATAAACACAGAAGAAACTCTTAAGGTGGGCAGAGTTTTGTTCAAATGGAAGTTTGCTACATCTTCTAATACAAACACATCTTCCATAATCTTTCTCATTGATTTTTAGAAACCCTTTTAAATTTAAGTGTCAACAGTCAAAAAGTTATTCTAATATCAATAAGAAAAGATAGCAAAATACAGCACTCTTAAGCCATTTTGTGGTGGGAAAAAACAGCTCCACAGACCTGATTGGTCATTGCAATCATAATTAAAATAGCATAAAAATGACCCCTAACTTACAAGGGTTCAACTTATGATATTTTGACTTTACAATGGTGTGAAAGCAATACTCATTCGGTAGAAACTGTACTCCAAATTTTGAATTTTGATCTCTTTCTGTGCTTGCAGTCTGTGTTATCATAATTTCTCACATGCTGGGAGGAAGAAGTGGGTCAAAGCTCCCAGTCACCCACGCAATCACGAGGGTTAACAACCAATACACTATAGTGGATCATGCTGCCAGATGATTTTGCCTTGTTTTAAGCTAATGTCAGTGTTCTGAGCATGTTTAAGGTAGGTGAGGCTTAGCTATGCTGTTCTGTAGGCTAGCTGTATTCAATGCATTTTCGACTTAACTATATTTTCAACTTACAGTGGATTTATAGGGACCCAATTGCAAACTGGGGAGCATATATTTGATAAGTGTTTGTGGTTATGTTCCAAAGTACTCAGAATTATTTTTACACTGTGGTTGGGTTAAGAAAGCATAGAATATGTAAGCCATTTACAAATGTGTTTCTTAAAGTTCTTTTGGTATGTCATTTTGATGAGGTGAGTTGCATTTATAAAGAAATGTCAACTATGTGAGCAACAGATTTCCCCATGATATCAACTAAATAAAATCTGCCTACACACACACATATGTACACACACAAAAACACATATATTCTTAGAGATATAGAGGATCAAACATGTTATAAACTGAACATGTTGATTAGTCAAACTGAAATGGACTACAAGGTCTACACGTCCAAAGGTTATATTTCTTACCCATAATGAAATGTCCCTAATACTTGTGAATGATATGGTCTATATTGTTCAACATATAAGTTTATTTCATGATCACTTATCATTTACAAATTCAGTAGTAATATTGAAAGAGAACTTAGGAAATCTACATAGTAACATATTAAGTTCTCAGTAATAACAACAACAAATTTATCAATACCAACACTCAAGTAATTAAAAAAATCTTGAGATAAAAACCTGAATATACTTAATAAATCTGTGGTGAGCTGTCAACCTTTCTGTGTTCTTCAGACCTTCCATGTCATTTTAAAATTCAATGCACAAAGTACATTACATTTTCCACATAGTAACATTTTGCACCTACTTCTTCATAGAATTCCCAGACAAAAAATGTTAAAATAACAATGTGACATTTATCATCAATTTATACTTAAAGTTTTATAGTTTTAGAGCTTGAGAATGTTTTCTCTCTTAGGATGCTTTTCTTATATTATGTCACATATCTGGCTTTAGCCTCATGATGTGCAAGGAATGTAGTTTGCAAAAACCAAATTTAACTGAAAAATATTTAAACCTAATTTGAAAAGAATAAAAAAACCCAAACCTCATTATAAATATATTTAAATATGGTGCTCATTAAGAAGTAACTAGATGACCTTTCAGTAAACTTTTAAAGAATTAAATATTAAGTATATATAATTCTTTTCTACATGTTTATTTTTAAAATAAAAACCTTTTGATTAAAAGAATAATTTTAAATTATGATTTTACTTAAAGTGATTTAATTTAAATTGTAATTAAAAGTTAATTTTGAAAAAAAATTAACCTTGGTCTTATCTCTTGGCAAATTACTATAGTAGTTTATGGTACATGAAATCATCTATTTTATGGTACACATAATCATCTATTTTTTAAATTGAAAATAACTCTTCCATGAGTGTTTTTATGCAGAGGCTTTTCTTTAAATAAAATAATGCATGCATTTTCTTCTTAGGCTTTTAATTATAATTTGTAAATAACATAAATTCACAGTTTGCTAGTACAGCGTAATCAAGCAGCTCACCTTCTTCTTTCAAGTCCTAAATATTTCTTTGTGTTGCAGAATATGCAAAAGAAAAAAAATGCCACAGACATTTCAAAAGAAGCAAATATTCCACCTTGCTTTTAAGGACAGATGAAACAGTCCTATTTTCATGTGGCAGATGAAATAAGTAGATATTTCAATAATATATTAACTTCTCCAAAGGCATATATTATGGCCCGAAAGAACTTTTAAAATTATACTTTCAGAACAACTTCGACATTGAAAAATATTCACTTTATGATTTACTTGTTAGTCTCAAGAGAGAACAAAGTTTCAGAGCAAATCGAAATATAAAATTAATACTGCATACTGTGGAAGTATATTAGTTCTGTTTTTATGAGACTTGACAAAGGCTACTCTATAAAGGATACCCCAAGAAAAGTTGGGAAATACCTAACACAGGTGAATAACTGAGTAGTTGATATGGATCATTTGAGCTGTATCCAACATTTTCCCCTTTTCAAATTTTAACAGTTCGTTTTTCTTGTAGTAATCACTCAAAAGTGCCATCATGAGGAATAGCCATGCAGAGCATTTTAATCTCAAATCACACAACTTGGTGCTAAAACATTCTGTCTGTTTCTTTTGCTGGAAATTCACCACGAACAATGGCACTGCTATTTTGACACTTCGAAGCAGGCCCCAGACTAGCAAAGCAACGTAAACCCAACAGTAGAAATCGAATTGCTGGATATTGAATGAGAGGGCCGGCTTAGAGCCTAAATGAGTGTGAGTCACTTAACTGCCACCACCTGCTTCCGCGTTTACAGAACTAGTGCATGGGGACATTACTCAGGTTCTTAGGGGCCCCACCTACTAAAGAACCAAACCAAACCACACCAGACTAACCAACAATCACACCAACGCTGAGCTTCTGTAGAATCCAACCTCGAGAGAGCACAGCATGAACTCTCTACCACCCCTGGTGCCCCTCCACGCCACACTAATTTCCTCTGAACGTTGAAATGCCTATACTTAGAGCAGGTGTGCTCTACTCCCTCTTCTGTCCTGACTTCCCGACCTCAACCAGCTTCAAACATTCAAAGTCTCTGGAAGATAACTTAAGATATAAAATATGTTCATGGTAAAGTTTTGAGGTCCCTTGTGAGTCCATTATCATAGAAAAGACTGACCCTTAGTTGTCTTTTCTAAACTGAAAAATCACCCTAATGGCATAAATGCCACATAATTTATGAAAGGATAACAAGACTATTGGCAGCCATCTGCCATGCTACATGTGGTGATTTCTGGCAGTATGCAATGTAAAAAATCACACTCAGTTACTATTAAGAAGGGCATAGAGTACACTGATCAATCTGATCATCTTCTTAGACTTTTTTTGATACATTTGCTCATGTGTGGAAATGCTTTTTATTAGTAGAAATAATAGCTATAAATAATAAACAATGAATAATTTTAGTAAATGAATGTGTGCTTTACAAACATGACATCACACAATATAATTGGGGGCTATTTACATATCGGTAAGCTTAATATTTTCACTATTATATTAGAATAAAAAGGAGTATGCACACACAGACTATCAAACAAGAGGACAGAGTATTTGGGTAATTGAGATTAGCTTGATTTTGATGGAATTTTACCAGCTTGAACATAGAGAGACAAGCATTTTTTTCTTCCTTGGTATTTTTCTTATTTCATTATAATTACTGGCTTTATTTAAAGGTATATTTCTAATATATTATCAATTACATAGGTATTTTGTTATTATACAGTGATTCAGCATATGTCTAGAAACCTGTATGTCCTGGAAGAAGTTAACTCACTTTCTAAGATTCAGTTTTACTAAGGTAGGTAAAAATATTGTCAATAGGAAACATTAATAACATTAGTTAGGCACTTGTTATTGGTAAGGCAATTTGTTAAGCACCACACTCATATGTATAATATTATTTAAACTTCATAAATAACCTGGAAACTCTATTCCAAATCTCCAGTTAGATATAAAAGCAAGACTGAGGTTTATAAGAGGTGCTTCTCCATTCTCAGACTCAGAAGCCTAGGAGACTAGAATCATAGATTTAAAAACTGGAATGGATTTTAGAGATAATCTAGTTTTATTCTCTCATAACTACAAAAACTTAAACTCTGAGAGATTATATAAATTGTCTAAGGCTATCCAACTAGTTAGTGGAGTATCTACATCTTTCTGAATTTTTTTCGTCTAATCATATCATAGAACTACACTATTATACCTTCTATTTATACCCAAAATAAAAATGAGATATCATAATTATATATTTTTAAAATTTTCTTCCTCTAAAGTGTGCTTCTTAATTTTAAAATAAGTAGGAAATTTTCTATGACATCTTTCATTATAGATTCAAAGTTTAAAATATTGCTACTCAATGTGTGGTCCATAGATCAGTCTCAGCATTAGCATCATCTGGGAGCATGTTAGAAATGTTACATTATAAAAAAGAGTCCAGGACCAGATGGATTCACAGCTGAATTCTACCAGAGGTACAAGGAGGAACTGGTACCATTCCTTCTGAAACTATTCCAATCAATAGAAAAAGAGGGAATCCTCCCTAACTCATTTTATGAGGCCAGCATCATTCTGATACCAAAGCCAGGCAGAGACACAACAAAAAAAGAGAATTTTAGACCAATATCCTTGATGAACATTGATGCAAAAATCCTCAATAAAATACTGGCAAACCGAATCCAGCAGCACATCAAAAAGCTTATCCACCATGATTAAGTGGGCTTCATCCCTGGGATGCAAGGCTGGTTCAATATACGCAAATCAATAAATGTAATCCAGCATATAAACAGAGCCAAAGACAAAAACCACATGATTATCTCAATAGATGCAGAAAAGGCCTTTGACAAAATTCAACAACACTTCATGCTAAAAACTCTCAATAAATTAGGTATTGATGGGACATATTTCAAAATAATAAGAGCTATCTATGACAAACCCACAGCCAATATCATACTGAATGGGTAAAAACTGGAAGCATTCCCTTTGAAAACTGGCATAAGACAGGGATGCCCTCTCTCACCACTCCTATTCAACATAGTGTTGGAAGTTCTGGCCAGGGCAATTAGGCAGGAGAAGGAAATAAAGGGTATTCAATTAGGAAAAGAGGAAGTCAAATTGTCCCTGTTTGCAGACGACATGATTGTATATCTAGAAAACCCCATTGTCTCAGCCCAAAATCTCCTTAAGCTGATAAGCAACTTCAGCAAAGTCTCAGGATACAAAATCAATGTACAAAAATCACAAGCATTCTTATACACCAACAACAGACAAACAGCCAAATCATGAGTGAACTCCCATTTACAATTGCTTCAAAAAGAATAAAATACCTAGGAATCCAACTTACAAGGGATGTGAAGGACCTCTTCAAGGAGAACTACAAACCACTGCTCAAGGAAATAAAAGAGGATACAAACAAATGGAAGAACATTCCATGCTCATGGGTAGGAAGAATCAATATCGTGAAAATGGCCATACTGCCCAAGGTAATTTACAGATTCAATGCCATCCCCATCAAGCTACCAATGCCTTTCTTCACAGAATTGGAAAAAACTACTTTAAAGTTCATATGGAACCAAAAAAGAGCCCGCATCGCCAAGTCAATCCTAAGCCAACAGAACAAAGCTGGAGGCATCACACTACCTGACTTCAAGCTATACTACAAGGCTACAGTAACCAAAACAGCATGGTACTGGTACCAAAACAGAGATATAGATCAATGGAACAGAACAGAGCCTGCAGAAATAACGCCACATATTTACAACTATCTGACCTTTGACAAACCTGAGAAAAACAAGCAATGGGGAAAGGATTCCCTATTTAATAAATGGTGCTGGGAAAACTGGCTAGCCATATGTAGAAAGCTGAAACTGGATCCCTTCCTTACACCTTATACAAAAATCAATTCAAGATGGATTCAAGACTTAAACATTAGACCTAAAACCATAAAAACCCTAGAAGAAAACCTAGGCATTACCATTCAGGACATAGGCATGGGCAAGGACTTCATGTCTAAAACACCAAAAGCAAGGGCAACAAAAGCCAAAATTGACAAATGGGATCTAATTAAACTAAAGAGCTTCTGCACAGCAAAAGAAACAACCATCAGAGTGAACAGGCAACCTACAAAATGGGAGAAAATTTTCACAACCTACTCATCTGACAAAGGGCTAATATCGAGAATCTACAATGAACTCAAACAAATTTACAAGAAAAAAACAAACAACTCCATCAAAAAGTGGGCAAAGGACATGAACAGACACTTCTCAAAAGAAGACATTTATGCAAACAAAAAACACATGAAAAAATGCTCATCATCACTGGCCATCAGAGAAATGCAAATCAAAACCACAACGAGATACCATCTCACACCAGTTAGAATGGCAATCATTAAAAAGTCAGGAAACAACAGGTGCTGGAGAGGATGTGGAGAAATAGGAACACTTTTACACTGTTGGTGGGACTGTAAACTAGTTCAACCATTGTGGAAGTCAGTGTGGCGATTCCTCAGGGATCTAGAACTGGAAATACCATTTGACCCAGCCATCCCATTACTGGGTATATACCCAAAGGACTATAAATCATGCTGCTATAAAGACACATGCACATGTATGTTTATTGCGGCATTATTCACAATAGCAAAGACTTGGAACCAACCCAAATGTCCAACAACGATAGACTGGATTAAGAAAATGTGGCACATATACACCATGGAATACTATGCAGCCATAAAAAATGATGAGTTCATGTCCTTTGTAGGGACATGGATGAAATTGGAAAACATTCTCAGTAAACTATCGCAAGAACAAAAAACCAAACACCGCATATTCTCACTCATAGGTGGGAATTGAACAATGAGATCACATGGACACAGGAAGGGGAATATCACACTCTGGGGACTGTTGTGGGGTGGGGGGAGGGGGGAGGGATAGCATTGGGAGATATACCTAATGCTAGATGACGAGTTAGTTGGTGCAGTGCACCAGCATGGCACATGTATACATATGTAACTAACCTGCACAATGTGCACATGTACCCTAAAACTTAAAGTATAATAAAAAAATAAATAAACAAATAAATAAATAAATGTTACATTATAGGTTCCACTCCAGATTTACTGAATCAGAATCTGCCAGGTAGTTTATATGCATATTAGCATATGAGAATTGCTGCTCTATGAAGTTCGTACTCTTTATACACCAACCTCCCCAATACCAACTCTGACAATGGCCAGTGCTATTATTCAAGGCCAACAGACATCTGTGTATAACCACTTATTGGCCTATGTTCTAAGTAAATTGATCATCTGTAAAGAACGTATTTTAGCAGAGACTGTAATCTCAGATACAATCTGAGATACAGATACTGCATGAGTTTATTACAGATTCTGTATTAGTCCATTCTCGCAATGCTATAAAGAATCTACCTGAGATTGGGTAATTTATAAACAAAGAAAGTTTAATTGACTCACTGTTCCACATAACTGGGGAGTCCTAAGGAAACTTACAATCACGGCAGAAAGGAAAGCAGACACCTTCTTCACAAGGTGGCAGGAGAGAGTAAATTCGAGCACAGGAAACAACTGCCACTTTTAACACCATCAGATTGAGACTCACTCACTATCACGAGAACAGCATGGGGGAAACCGCGCTCATAATCCAATTACCTCCCTCCCTCGACACGTGGAAATTACAATTCAAGATAAGATTTGTTTGGGGACACAGAGCCAAACCATATCAGATGCATAATCATCTAGTACTTGCTGGTTATTGTTTATTTTATGTCAAATTAGATGAAGCCTAAGTCTTTGAAGTATGTTGCAAAGTTAAGCCGCAAAGATGCTGAAAGTTTACAAATTATAAAGCAAGACCTATAATATTCTATTTGAAGGTGCATATTATTGAAGTTCTGAAACAATCTTGTTATAACACTACATTTCTTAAAAACAAACAATTGGCATGGAACCCAGGAAGTCACAAATGTAATAAGAATGAAAGATACATTTTAAAACAATCCTTGGACTTGTTGGCAGCTTATAAATGCATACCTCTCTAATAAAAACTATGTGAGATAATGAATATATTAGTGTTCTGATTTTAGTAATCAGTTTACTCTGTATATCAAAATATTATATTGTACACCTTACATTTATAGGATGAAAAATAAGTTAAATGAGAGAATAAACCTCAGTCGCTATCTCAATGTATTAACAATCCAAATAATTGAAATCTTATTAAAGTAAGCAAACTTTTGAAACAGTAGAACATAGTAATGCCAAGGGGAAATTCTTAAGAATATGAGTCATATTACCTTTATTCACATTAAAAAATAACTACAAATATATTGTAAATGTTGGGTTACAGTTATACTCTCAAAAATGTTATGTGAAACTATGTAAAGATTGGAAACAATATTATTCGTTTTCTTTAAAGTCAGCGATTGATATGGTTTGGCTCTGTGAACCCACCCAAATCTCATCTTGAATTGTAACCCTCTTAATCCCCAAGTGCCAAGGGTGAAACCTGGTTGGGGGTGACTGGATCATAGGGATGGTTCCCCTATGCTGTTCAAATGATAGTGAGTGAATTCTCACAAGATCTGGTTGTTTCCTAAGTGTGGGGATCCTCCCGCTTCATGCTCTTCTCTCTCATCTGCCACCATGTAAGACGTGCCTTTGCTTCCCCTTTGCCTTCTGCCATGATTGTAAGTTGTCTGAGGCCTCCCCAGCCATGCAGAACTGTGAGTCAATTACACCTCTTCCCTTTATCAATTACCCAGTCTCTGGTATTCCTTTATAGCAGTGTGAAAACAAACTAACACAGCAATAAACAATACACTTTGAAATAAAGGTTATTTAGAAAATTGCCTCTTCAAAATGCTTGCTGTTTCAATAACATACATATGTGTTAAATTATCAAAGTTATTTTTATTAGCAAAATTCTCTAAGCTAAATATAATTGAATTATCACAAACTTTAATACTGACCTAAATTCTTTTTAAAAAAATTATTAAGAGGCAGAGTCTCACTCTTGTCTCAGCTGGCTGAAATGCAGTGGTGCAATCATTATTCACTGTAGCTTTGAACTCCGGGGCTCACGCAATCCTTCCACCTCAGCCTCTCCAGTAGCTAGGACTACAGTACAGACACACACCACCACACTTGGCTAGTTTTTAAATATTTCTTTGTAGAGAGAAAGTCTTGCTATGTTGTTCAGGCTGGTCTCAAACTTCTGGCCTCAAGCAATCCTCTTGCCTCGGCCTCCCAAAGTGCTGGGATAATACGCATGAGCCACCACGCCCGGCCCGACTGCCTATATTTCTAACCAGTGAAAATTTCTTTTCTATTTGCTGATAGACAATTAAGCGGGATAATTTACTCTTTCAAAATTTTCTTTTCATTACACGTTTAACAGAAGACTAATTCCAAAACCACTAAATATCTCCTCATCAAAGTGACTTCCAAACTTGGCCAATGTTGGAATTGTGAGGTTGTCCTCTTTTTCTTGGAACAGTCTTTTCCTGCTGTTTGCTTGGCTTTTTCTTTAGGTTTTAGCTAAAATGTTATAACAGAAAGAGTTTCCTTAATCACTCACTGATGACCTTACCTGTGGACTAATTGGAATGATTCAATAATTTTAATTTCTATGTTGTCATACCTATTCAATAAAAGAGAACTTTAAGGTAAATTATTAAGATAGATAAAATATTATAAAATGGACAGTGCAAATAATTTTGAAATTAAGAAAGCATAAGTAGGATATGTGACTTCATAGAAGCATAGAATTAAATGGCAATTTTTAAACTAAAATGTAGAAAACTGAATGTGTTATGTGGAAGCTGATAAAGTGGATAATAAAGAAAATAACTGGAAGATACTTTTAGTTCCAGGTCTAGAAGATTAATCTTTCAAAAACATGCTGATGCTCAATGCATGTTTCTGAGTAGTCCCTCTTTACCCATTTCTTAGGGAGCAGTTGACACAGTACAACTCCAGGAAGGAAATGCTTGAGTAGCTAGCATGGTTTGTCTTTAGCGCCACCACTTGAGACTTTGTCATTTGAAAATCCATATGTGGAAACAAACACAGCATGAGAGATCCTCTGAATACTGTAATTATACACATATAAATGAACAAATAGCAGATCTAAAAGCTTTTTTTGAAAAAAAGGCCCTATTGATGCCAATTTGATAAAAGAAACAATGTCATTTTTATTTGCAATATTCTGAAATCTCTCTTTGAAAGTAGATACATGATTCTAATTGTGCCAACAACACATTTTAAATTCCAAAAATTGATACGTGGGTGATTATATGCTCTGTAAAACGAAAATGCCTCAGATTATTGCATATAATAATTACCTATTTTATCACAATATGAAGACTACTCAAATTGCAGTAACATTTTTCTAATATACTTTGGGCAAAGAGTAGATAATAAATTAAAATTTAAAAATGTTTTATTTCACACTGAGCAAATAAGTATAAACTATCTTTTAAAATAACTGTAGTTGTCCTATTACTTTTAAACAACAGTCCCTTTAAATATTTCTGTTTCATTTTTGGTTTTGACTCATACAGATATGTAAGTTTTAAGGCAGTTTTTTTTTCTGTAATACCAAGATTACTTACAGACACACTTGTTTGCAACTAACATTATATTACAATTATAATACTTCTTAGTATGATGCTTTTAGCTATCAAAACACAACAATGTATATTTGTTGCTATAACCTAGCTATAAGCACTTTAAGAAACAATTTGTATACAGAGCTAACCCATTTCAATTCCATTTTCAATTGTATTTATTTAACACTGGTTGTGTACCTAGAAATATTTGGGTAATTTGGAGGACATAAGTAAATATAAATCACAGTGTTTTAAGGAATGTGTTTGTCTTCAAGGTATTAGTTGGCTATCTATAAAAGTAGTAGCGACTAAGTCTTAAATTATATTTAATTAGATTCTATATTTGTCTTCAAGTATTTTACGGCAGTAGAATATTGGGTAAATATTAAGCTTTTATTTGAGAAGCCCAACTAGAACTACTGGCTGGAATTTATGGGAGTGTAAATCTGTATCAATGCAAGGAAGGACTTGACAAAAGTAAGAACTGTATAAAGATGGAACCAGTGAGCTTTAAAATGCTTGAGCATCCTTATACTTTGAATATTACAGCACAGAGGTATTTGGGCTAATTTCATGTAATGGTATAATGCAACCAGTACAGTACCTAATATGATGAAACATGTTTACTAAAGTCTAGTTCCTTTAATACAACCATTCCCTAATACCTATCAGCCTAAGGGAAAAAATACAGGCTCTGCTCATGCAGATTGTGGACTAATAGAAAAGAGAGTAATGTGTTTTTAGTAGGCATCACTGCAGGGATCATTGTGAAGAATATAAAATTTGAAACAGGCTTCGCTAGACTGGCCAACTTTGAAATGGTTCAGAAGTGTGTACTAAGTTGCAAAGGTAAGGATGAAGACGGAGTTTAAAATATAAACAAATAGAATAGAAGTAACTATTTTTATACTTATAAAATTATATTTTTGTCATATTAAAAGTGGAAATGAAATTCATTGACATTTCATAACAACTTCAACAATATCAACGCATCTGCTGGATTATTACACACTAAATATATATAGTTATCAAGTTTTTCAGAAGCTACAGCTATCATTTAGAAGATTTGGTGACATCTTAAGTACTCTATTTAAAGTACTTGTTAGATGCAATAATTATTTTGTTGACACGTCTTTAATTTGCATGCAGATAACAAATAATTCTTCAGATAATAGCTTGTGGAAAGGACAGTCAGGCTTGGGTTTAAAGGCACGTGATCACCCATGTGGCTTAAGAAAAGCAGAGAAAATCTTTTAAAATAAAATCCGGTAGAAAAAGGGTTGCAGAAGTTGTAAGCTTTCACAGCATGGTTTCAAATTTCCCTTATGATAGATACACATTTACTTATAAAATGAGGAAAATATTTGTGGTTTATTCTTTGAAAATATATTTCTCGCCTTCCTTCTGTTGTCGATACTATGGGGTAATTTCTCACTTTAATATCAGATAATTGGAGGTGGTTTTCATTATTTGTGATCACTGTGTTCCTTATAAGTTCAGAAACCAAAGAATTTGCCTGCTGCGTCTTAGTATTTCACCTGTGATTAGAGCAAATTGCCACAGGGAGGTGTTGATACATCAGTCTGCTCCAAGATTCTGAGGCTTGGACCGTAAATGAGTTTCCTCTAAAACAGCATAGATAAAACAGGAAAAATGAAAGGAGGGGACAAAATGTAACAAGGTATAAGAGAAATATGATTCGAAACAGCATGTTGTGTTAGAGAAACTGCAAAGATCTCAGTATGGTCGGTTAGATTATAGGGTGCAAATGTTGGGTTAGGAGGAGACTAAATTTAAGAGACAGGGAAGAACTAGAGAAATGCAGTACTATAACAAGATTTGTGTTTTGGGAAAGTATTTCTGGCATAGATATAGATGATAAGCTAGAGGGGGAAGATTAGAATCCGGGAGACATACCAGGAGGCTACTAAATTAATGCCTGGAGGGAAATGCTGAAAATCTTAACTATAGAAGCTGTGATAGGAATGGAGAGCAGCGGATGGATACAAGAAATATTTAAGCATTAGGACTGGCAAATATTTTAAAGACAAATATTTTCCCACTGCCATGAAAGCAAAGGAAAAAGTTATTTTCTCAACAGCACTCTCAAGAAAAGCTTCATGGATTAGCTATTGTATGAAATGAATACTCAAAACTGTGCTTATAGATTAAACAATTACCATCTTTTAACTTTAGTAATAGCAATCATATTTACAGTTTTCGATACAGACTTCAACATTTCCTGAGAACTGATTTAAAGACAGCTTTTATGTATACCTGACAAAGCATTTTAAGAAATATTTTACATAGCTTTAAATAAATGTTTTCACTACATGACTATTACATGTATTTCAATAGTACTCAAATGATAGAACTACACTGCAAAAGTACCTTATTGTGAAGAAGAACAAAAATGACATATATATTATGATTTAATGTGCTACCATTGAAAGAGCTGCATTCCTCTCTTTATTTCAAATATATTTCTTTATTTTTTACCAATGTAATTTTTAAGTCTCCAGAACATATGACAGTGTCATCAAGGAATAAGTAAACAAAAAGATAGAAACATTATGCCAATAGGCTTTTTCCTTTATATACAAGCAATCAAGCCTTAAAATGTTGCCTAGATGTAAGCTGAAACTTCTTAGTTAGAGAACTTGAACACAGAGACAGCACTTCACTCTCAGCCAGCTATGCCACAGTGAAGAGCACTGGACCTGGAAATAGGCCAAGCTGGTGGCCCAGGGAAGTTACTTCTCCATGTGTCTCTGATTTTTTCATTTGCAAACTGAAGCATTGTTATAAGAAATAAATGACCTAGTACACATAAAGAGTAGTGCCTGATTTGAAAGGCTGGGAAGAAACATTTAATAAGAAGTCAACACAACAAATATTAGCTATTTACGTAATACAAGCAGAACGTTTTATAAGTATAATATGTACTGCTGCCTGGAGTTCTAGAAAAGGACACTCATTGATTGATGCTGAAAATGTAAATTGTTACAGAATTTGTGGAACTCAATCAGGCAACATTTATTAGCCAAAAACTAAACATCTTCTTTGATCAAGCATCCCTGTCTTTGGAATCAATTCCACAAAAATAACCCCCTCAGTATCTAGAATATTGGAATAAGGTTGTTTTTGTTTATGTTCTTAATGGTAGAAGCAATGTTAATACCCCACCACGGCACATTTTTATCTCTGACACGGTACTATTTTTGTCAACTGACACAATAAAATAGTTATTCTTTTTTTTTTTTTTTTTTTTTTTTTGGAGACGGAGTCTCGCTCTGCTCTGTCACCCAGGCTGGAGTGCAGTGGCGCGATCTCGGCTCACTGCAAGCTCCGCCTCCTGGGTTCACGCCATTCTCCTGCCTTAGCCTTCCAAGTAGCTGGGACTACAGGCGCCCGCCACAACGCCCGGCTAATTTTTTGTATTTTTAGTAGAGATGGGGTTTCACCGTGTTAGCCAGGATGTTCTCGATCTCCTGACCTCGTGATCCGCCTGTCTCAGCCTCCCAAAGTGCTGGGATTACAGGCGTGAGCCACCGCACCTGGCCAAAATAGTTATTCTTAATTCTGTACTGTGGACATACAAAAACACAATTAACTATGCTACTATTTCCTTTTAACTAGTCATAACTTAATAACTTAAATGCTTACGTTAAGATATATAAATAAAACTTACATATACTACAGAAGTGCATGAGGCATGATTAAATTTCATTTTTGGAAATTTCATTACTGCCATTGAAAATCTCTTCTACTATAAGTTAAGCATTCGTTTTAACATATTCTTTAGGGATGA